>NC_000006.12:101434426-101585941 GCF_000001405.40 Homo sapiens
TGTAGGTGTCTGATTCAGTGAACAGAATTTCTGACATGCAGACTTTCCTCACTAATTTGAATATTTTTTTTTTTGTTAGAAGAAGAAGAAAAATATGTCATTTATACATTTTTCCATCAGAGGAGTTTGTGAATCTTGGGTAAAATTTTATAGCTCTATCGAGTTTAACAGTTTGAATATTAACCTTCTGGATGTGAAGATTTAAAATATTTTATTTTCCTACTACTTTCTGGAATGAGACCAATCCTTTTACACATTAGGGGGATTTTCCTGGCCTTTCTGTGTTTATCTAACATGTCACACACCCGGTCCCTCATGGTGGGCTGCCCTTTGTTCTTGAGGTGAGACATGTCAGTGGTGGTACCACTGTAAATGGGGCACTTCTCTCCCCAGCTGTTCACCATAATTCCTGAAAGGGAAACATAAACCAAAGGAAATAAATAATGTTTTGCTTATTTCTCTGCAGCTGCCCCGTGAGGACCCTGGGTACTTGGCAAATCTGTTTTTGCTCCTGAGGAAGAGCCTAAGGAGAAAAGAAAATTCTATCCAGAGAGATTTAGGTTGCACAAACTGAGCCTGCACTTTCAAAGAAAATAATAGATCACATAGTCCCAACTCTTAGAGTTATTATTTTTTTCTTTTCCATTGACTCCATTTTTCCTTGCTGTACAACAGTTTCTAAAGCAGAGTTTTTGAGTGCTTTCATCCAGAACCAATGAGTGTACTTTTCTATTCTTCTTTTTTTAATATAGTGTGACTCAGCAGTGTGACAATGTCTTGCACTTAATTCCCCAGAAGTTATTGTGAACCATGGAATAATCCTTACCTTTGTCTGATGTGGCACTTTCTGCTATTCAGAACTGACATCACTCCCTTCAGGACTCAATCTCTGTCCTGCTTAAACCATGCCAAGATTTAGACAATTCTCCCAATTAACTACATTGTGAAGGCACACGGTGATTTTTTTTTTTTTTTTTGGCAATAAAAGAAAGTTGAAAACAGACTTTTAAAATTGGGGAATAGCAACCCCCTTCCCCTCAATCCCCTCCTCCAAATAAGCCACTTTTCCAGTTTTTTCATTGTGGTCCAGAAGTTGTTTTTCTCCCAGTTTGTTGGTGACATCTCCAGGCGTCTCCCTTTTCCATGATCTCCATGCCAGTGGCTTAGTAAATTTCCTTTGCACACATGATTTCTAAATCTCTATCTCTAGTTGTGTCTTCTTTCCATGCTATTAAAATTTCCTTTGATATCTCAAGATCCATGTGCCCAAAGATCATTGTTTTGTTCTTTTCAGAACCCACTTTCTCTTCTGATTAATGCCATTGACATTCTCCATCTGACACTTGGACTCAGAATCTTAGATTTGTCTTTGACTTTTTTCTTCCCTTACTTCTCAAGTTTAATCATTTTTTCAGGACTTGGAGACTTTTCAATATCAAAGCTTCCTGGATCTAGCTTGTCTTTACATACATAGACAGGTACTCATTACTTTTACACATGAATAATTGCAGTGGCCTCCTAATTTGTTTCTTTATTCTTCCCTTCTTTTATTTCATATGGAAATATTCAAATGTGCGCATATATATTTTTAAAAAGTTATATTCTTTATCCTTTTCAAAATTCAAGCTAAGATTCTCTGTTAGCGTAATCTTGCCTATAGCATTTGAAACAAGATTTGGTTAATAAACTTCCTATCTATTCAGAGTACAGTTTTTCAGGATTAAAATATTTGAATAAGTTGATGTACATGTGTATATACTTAAATATTAATATAGCTACATTTTACTAATTATTCATTTTTATGAGATAAATAGGCAGTAAGTTCAAGTTATTTTTTCAAACTCTGTTTTCAGAGGTTCATGTATATTTTATTCCTACAATATGTTTTTTGAGTGATTCAGGATAGTGCACAAAACAGAAAGCTTGACTGAAAAGATAATGATTTTTTTTTTATACTGAACTCTTAGTGACATTGTTAAAAAAATTTTTTTAGCTGCAAGGCTGTGTACTGAGACATTTAGCATTTGCCTTGTAAGAAAAATGTTCTGTAGCAAAACTTGAATAGAGTGGGGGTGTGGTAGATAATTAGGTTTCTTCCATATTTAGATCCTATGATTTATGTTACCCCCACTCTTACTGGAGCAAGATTTTTATGTGGGAGCAAGAACTAGTCTGGATAGAGAATATATAATTTGGGGAATTGGTATCTTCAGCAAATTTTCAGATTCTTCTCAGTTCATTTTATGTATAAATCTTTTGTAGAACTAAATCACCAGATTTAAGATCTTTTAGTTTTCCTTTCTTATTTTATAGAGTTTTGGGGAGGATTTGGTAAAAGTCAATAATGATTTAAAGTTTATTATTATTATTATTTTTTATTATTATACTTTAAGTTCTAGGGTACATGTGCACAACATGCAGGTTTGTTAAATATGTATACTTAAAAGTCCTATATAATTTAAAATTATATTGTAAATTTCGTCTAAATTAAGATTAAAATGGCTCAAATCATCATATTTAAAGTAGAGATCTTGATCTAGTTTACAGTTATGTATTGCATGAATTTTAAAAATAATTTTAGAGTTCAATACCTATATGGATATATATATATATATTTATACTATTTTGTAAACAAATTAAAATATTAAAACTCACAGTGTCCTTACTACAGCCAATGGTTGGCAAAGAAAATGCCTAAATTTACTAAAGACTGAGGAGAGATATTCTATCACTTGATGCAAGCAAGCAACAATAGACCACATGGCTGACTTATTTCTATACTGAGAAAAATCCTCTGTTTCCATTTTCACAAACAGAATGAAAGGCATTAGCAAAAATGTCCTGCTGCATTCCTTCATGAGACCTATTTAGGTAATGGAAATCTTAGCAAATATATTCCTTTTCCCTTTATTGATAATGGTCTAGCTACATAATAGAAACATCATGTGGGGAGCATCTAATGTACCTCACAACTGCCAACAACGGTGTGAATTAGGACAAAAAGGATTGGTCTATTTCCATTTACTTCAAAGATCCTTTTAATATTCTTTGTTGCTGTAGACTAAATATTGTGATTAAAATTTCCTTCTCTATTTCTTCATTATTATGCTTTTAACAACTTGTAATTTCACAAGACATTTCTTAGGAATAAGAAAGTGTTGTAAATAAATGTGGATACATTCTTAATACCTTAGGGAGTGGGGGCAATAGTAGCATATTGATTCACTTACAGTACATACAGTATAATACTACTTATTTTCCCAAAGTGACCATCTGTCCAGCTTGCCAGCTTGTCAGCTATCATCATTCCTCTGAGCTTCAGATCCTCGCCCGTAAAATAGGGAGAGATACAGGGTTATTGTAACAAGTAGAATAAATGACACACAAATCATTCTAATAGAGTGCCTGGTACTTCCCTTATATACCCTTCCAAGATCACTCCTCACTCCACCCTTGTTCCCTCGATGATCTTATGCTTTAATTGTGAGAGGCAAAAACAAATACAAAAGGAAATAAAGGATGAAGCAGTGGGCGGAGAATGTAGACTAGTGGAAATAAACTTGACAGGAAGCCTCCTAAATTCTAGTAGTCCTAGTTTTGCTACCAAACAGCTATGATACCTTGCTTGGATCACAAAGTCTTTCTATATCTACATATTGTCCATCAAATGAAGGTTTAATGGGGGTATTTATTAAGTGCCACATTTGTTATATAGACATTAAGTCTCATTGTAATTCTAGCATGTTAGTAGTCCTTGTGGGTTAAAGTAAGTGATTAGGGAAGATATGGAAGAAGTGGGACATGAAATGGGCTTTAGAAGTTCATTAGGATTTGGTTAGCTCAAGGGAAGACATTTATTTGTTGTTGTTTTTTTTGTCTTGATCTTAGCCAACTGAAATGTTTTAATTTTTCATAGAATGACATAATTGACCAGAATGATACGTTCTGAAGTGACACTGGCCATTAACTTAATTGCTTTAATTCTTTAGATGAATTTTATTTGAGAGATTTATAATTCTAAAAGATAATGCCTCCTGTAAATAGCTCCACTATCGTACTTATCAATATGTGTGGAACTCGTAAATGGAATATATATTGGAAACTCTTTCCAATACAGAGTCCTTTAGAAAGACCAAAATAATGTAGCCACATTGTGAGATTGCCATCAAGAAATGTGCTCAACATCGTTCTGGCACACTCTTTTAATGAGTCCATATTTGTGATTAATAAATGCGTGAAATCATTACTTTCCAGTAAATATATATAAGGTAAGATTTCAAAGTGACATGTCAAGTATGATTAGTATTTCTTCGCATTAAATTGATAAGGAACAATGTGCTTTAAAATCATAGTCACAGACTGGGGGATTTAAGAGCCATTGCCACACAGATGACAATTGAATTCCTGAGAACAGATTAGATTGCCTAGAAAGGACAAATTTGTTATAAGGCAACATGCACTTTTGTAAACTGCATTGATTTTTGTGCTAATAATAACAATGGTTATTGAGGTTGTTGATAAGTGTATAGAACTAATGAGGTTTGTTATATTTTAGGTCAACTTGGTGTCCGTTACTTTCAGTCCCAATTTTATCTCAGAACTTCTAAACCTGAGATGTAAAATAGGCTACATAGATATCTTAAACAATTGCTCAGCTGCTTTCAATGTACAGCTGAAGCTCAGTGACCATCTGTCTGGTGCGCTGAGTATTCTAAATCCTAAAAGTGTATCTCATTGGGTCTATATATGTTTATATCATATGGATTATTCTTACTGTTCATTGTTCCATGGGACTGTAGTTTGGGCACTAATCCCTTACCCAGTTTATTTTGTCCTGGGAAGCAGAGATGGTTTCATTGGATGCCCATGGTTCAAAGTAACAGCTTTATGCATAAAGAGCATCTTGAGGCCTTTACCCTCAGAAAGCAGGCATAGTTGCAACAGCCATGTAGTGTGTAATGAAGCTTCAAAGTCTTCATTACACAAGTATTATCTCAATTATCTCATCCAATCCTCACAACAACCCTATGAGAAAATTATCTATCCCCAGTCTTATCTTTTAGATGAACTACATTTTACAGCTAACTAGGTTACCCAAATTCACAAAATTAGGGACTTAAAGCCATGATTTTCTGATTCTAAAGACATGGGACTTTTCCATTATGCAATATTGACTTCAATAAATATCCCTCTCCTTTTCAATTTCCTTAATGAAAGCCATCATTATACATGTAAATATGTATATTGATAATTACTTCAAAAATGGAAATGCATTGTAGTTGAAATAACAAAAACAAGAAAATATCTATATAAGATATAGGTATTATAAGTAGCTATCTTACCTATGATGTAATTATTTTTAAATGGACTTCTGGTTTAGAATTTTGGGCTATATAGGCATACCTAGTTATCTTGAACTTAAATGCAATTTATGAAAAATAAATAATTTTTATCTTTGAGAGAGTCTTGTGAAAAGAAGACTCCTGAAAAGATTCCTGAGAAAATATTCATTTGTTATTGTTAGTGAGAATCTGGGTTTAAAAACTGCAACTATGGCAATAATGTTCTCATTGGAAGATGACCACTTCGGTGAGGTTATGACCAAATTGTTATGGAATTTTTTAAAAAAGTTAGTAAGTGCCAATGGAAGACATAACACAATTTCCAAGAAATATATGTAAGATCATAATATGCAGTTGTAGAAAAAATGATGGGGTATCAAAGAAAAATATTTCCCTGGAAAAGTGCTTGAAAAAGAATCTACTAAAACAATAAAACAACAGGAAATAAGGTGAAATTGGACGGAGAAAAAATTCAACAGAATTAGGTATAAGACACAGCATGGGCCAATCTTATTTGACAAGGTTCAATTGACATTAACAAAAACTGGACAGAAAAAACAGATTTTATGAAGAAATGAACAAAGTCATAATTTAGCTCAGTGCATTAAGTTAATCAGTTATTAAGATAATCCTGCTGAGGCACTTGAATCTTTATTTCCTTACCCAATGGTTCAGAGCCACAAGAACCCTAGTTCAAATGCTTGTGCAGTTGATCTGGTTAATCAACTAATTCTAAGACTGATCAACTTTGAAGGAAAATCATTTGAGGAAGATTATTATGCCCAGTTGGAAGTAACTGGACTAAGGAACTGAAAGCTGTACATCTTTCTGTCTGTGTGATAGAACCTGCACCCATGCAGTTGTCCAAAAACTATACTTTCTAGTTCTTTTCAGTTAAAAAATAATAATAAAATTGATGAATGGATTCCAACAGAGGGCCCTTCTCTGCCCTAAAACATATTGACACATTTACTCATATTTCTGTTTGAGGGTTTAAAGCAGCTCAAAGTTTGTAACTTCCTGTGTTTGTCTGCGCCCTTCCTCCTAAATACGCAAGGGCCTTTAGGACCAAAAACTCCTCAGCCTCCTTGTCAGATTCTACGAGAAAGAAATGCTTTTTTGTTTTTTTTTTTTGTTTTTTGTTTACTGAAGATTACAGAAAGGAGAGTGTTAGATGGTCTATCTTCTACCTTGCAGGCCTGAATTTTTTTTTTTTTTTTTTAAGACAGGATCTTATTCTGTCTTGCTGCTCAGGACAGATTGCAGTGTTGCAATCATAGCTCACTGCAGCCTTGGTCTTCTGGGCTCAAGTGATCTTCCTGCCTCAAGCTTCCTAGAGCACTGGGATTACAGGCGTGAGCCACTACACCCAGCCCAGGCCTTCAGACTTTTGTGTTCTCTTCCAGCTCAGCTCTTTCCAAAAGCCAGTAACCCCATGCAGGTTGGTCCTCGCTGTGAGATTCTTTCTGAGTAGTCTACTCTCTGTCCCTTGTCATCACAGTATTCTTGCTTTTGAGGGAATAGGCCCTACCAGACCAGTCTGAATCTCCTGAAATGTTGGTGAATAAAATTTTGTTCTGATACCACAGTGTAAGTAAACAAACAAACAAACAAAAAGCAGTCATCATTTCCAATTTTTCTAGAAGATCTCAAGTTGTTTTTCATGCATATGGTGAGAGAACAAGTTTTTTGTTTTTCTTTTATCTTAAAACTGTATATGCTTGTGCTACCCAGAACACGGTATTATGCAGTTTAAGAGATTCTTTACATGCTTGGCGCGGTCAAACATCAATAGTTCCACCTTGATAGACTTTCAAGTCTGGAAAAAGCTTAATGAAGTTAGGAGTCTTTATGGCCTCATTTTTTTCTTTTCAACTGTTAGTTTAGGTTCCAGGGGTATGTGTGCAGGGTTTGTTACATGAGTAAACATGTATGGGGTTTGGTGTACAGATAATTTTGTCATCCAGGAATCAGCATAACACCCGATAGGTAGTTTTTCAGTTCTCCCCTTCCTTCAAACTTTTACCCTCAAATAGGCCCTAATGTCTGTTGTTCCCTTCTTTGTGTCCATGTGTGCTCAATGTTTAGCTTCCACTTTATTTTATTTTACTTTGCCAAAGCTACAGAACATAAGAAAGTAGTCTGGGAAACTTCTTATAGTGAAAGGATATGTATACTTGTCTTTTGGGAGATACAAAAAAAAAAAAAGGGGTGAACAGGGCAGAATTTTTCCAATTCTTGGGAGAGGGAAAACTCCAAGAGATAAGAGTGGGTGGAGGTAATTTTAAAAAGAGAAGAAACGTTGATTGAGATTTGAAGGTTTGCTGGATGGCAGAAAAGGATAGCATGAAACCCCGGCTTTGGCCACAGATGTGTCTGAAAATGTTGTAGGACTGTCTCCTTAGTTCAGCCAAAAACCAGGTTCTTGTCACAGGACCAGGAAAAGATTAGGCTCACAGACACTTTGAAGGGTGGGGAGGATGGAGTTTGTTGGGAGAAAAGGAAAAAGGAAAAATAACACAGCAAAGTGAGATGGGGTCCTGCTAACAGGCTCTTCACCTCACCTGTTGAATCCCAGGTTACCACCCAGGAACAGGAGAGGCCAGGCTCCTTTCCCCCTGCAAACAGCAGGAACTTCCCAAGGTTTCACCCCATCCTGCCAGTCAGTGCGCCGGCTGGTTGGAGATTCTCTGGGGAGCCCTTTTTTACTTGGCTGTCTCCGAACCTTAATACTTGCCTGACATGCTGCCAGATTTCTTGAAAGACACGCTGCAAACTTAAGTTTTTTATTTGTTGACATAGGGTTTAGAAGGAAGTATAAAACACAAAGAGTGATGGAGGGGACAGAACAATGGAGAACCACTTTGAACCTAGACATGGAGTTGGCAAACTTTTTCTGTGAAGGACCAGCTAGTAAATATTTACATGATTTCTGTAGCAACTACTCAACCCTACCTTTATAGCATGAAAGTAGCCGTAGCCAATACATAAATGATTGGTCCCTGCTGGGATTCAATGTAACTATTCACAAAAGTAGGGAGTAGGCAGATTTGTTCTGAGGGTGGCGGTTTTTGCTCCGTCTGGACTGTTTTCCCAGATTTCTTTGCATTAGCGTATTTACTACTTCTCCTGTTAGCAAGTCTTGACTGAATCCGCAAATAAATAACATAAGATTCTTTTCCAGTTTTACTCTTTCTTTTCCTATAATGTTTACAATAGAATAGTGCATGAATAATTTTGATTCCACCACTACCTCCATTTGCATCACACTATTTCATTTTTCTTATTATTCTCAGTGTAATAGAATGCATCACAGAATGATCACCTTGAGATTGTCAAGGTGTCACTATTTCTAAAAATTCAAAGTACGAAAGGGGTCTTTAAGGAAAGGCACCTGGGATAAGAGGCACATAGTTACTTAAGGAACAAGGGGAGCTAATAAACATCCTATGTATAGGTAAATAAAGTGAGTAAAGTACAATATTACTTTTACTTTTCAAGAATCAAACAGCTTACTTGAAATAAAATAAAGGGCAAAATGTCTCTAAATGTGGAAAATAAGTATCTGGAAACTAAATAATTTAATTCTAATTTACAAAAAGAAATACTGTGATACAGAAAAGCACTAAAAATACCTAGTGATTGATAGAAAAAGCAGAATACATTAAACATCAAAATAAATTATGTGGCAGTATTGTGATGATTCATCAGGGCAAACAAGTGGATACAGGTTTCTGAGTTTTAATCAAGGAATTCAATTTTGTTCAACCATATCTTTTGAGACAACAATAAAGCTAAAGTGGGGCAGGTTCATTTCAGATGAGAAAATATTTAAATGAATCATTTAAGAAATGATTAATATTATTATATATCAGTGAAAATTATTTCTGAAACTTTTAGTAGGATACATCTTTTGAATATGTGCATATATTTGGGAGATTCTGAACTGAATCAAGGTAATAGTTTTCCCTTTTCCTTGATTACTTACTCTAGAAATAAGAATACTACCGGAAAACATTTGCCCTATATCTAATGTAATTTGCCATACCTCAATTTTAGATTGTATTTATTCTTTTAAAATTTTTACTTTATTCTTATTTTAAAATTTATTTTATTTTATTTTTTATTTTTTTCAAGATGGGCTCTCACTCTGTCTTCTCGGCTGGAGTGTAATGGCCCAATTATGACTCACTGTAGCCTCTACCTCCTGGGCTCAAGGGGTGTTACCATCTCAGCCTCCCAATTGGCTCAGACTACAGGTATGCACTACCGTGCCCAGCCCAGCTGATTTTCCGGGTTTTTTTGTTTGTTTGTTTGTTTGTTTGTTTGTTTTTGAGACGGGGTCTTGCTCTGTTGCCTAGGTTGGTCTTGAACTCCTGCACTCAACTGATCCTCCTACCTCAGCCTCCCAAAGTGCTGAGATTACAGGCATGTGCCACCACATCCGACTCATCTTAAATTGTATTTATTCTTAAATTATTTTCTTTTTTTCTCAAGGTAGAATTTTTCCTATATGCTGAGATAAAGTCTGAGTGGAAGTTGCTCTTGTATTTATTCATATAGCTATTACTTTAATACTTTAAAAATATTTTAGATTTATATTAAGTAATATATTCAATTTGGTCAACATGTTTTATCTCTAAGCCTTGGCAATGTAGCAATATGTTTTTAAAAATACTATTTGTAAAATGTATTAAAGTTTCCAAATTAAGAATGAAAACATGGTTTTATAATAGCCTTTGGTGGCTGTTGGCTTCTAGTTTTCTTTTAAAGGTATAATGATTCAAGTTCATAGAATTCCTTCAATTTATATGCAAAGTTCTCCTTAATTGCATTTTCTTATAGGAGTATACTATTTGTTTATTAAGTAAAAATTTTCAATTCAGGAATTGCAATCCTTTCTTATTGAAAATCTGTACTTTTTCAGATTAAGAAAAAAGACTCACATGGTTGATGGTACTAAATGCTTCTTCATTAACTACTCTCTGTCTGCTCACTACTCCTTGCCTCATTACTGAATCATGATCATTTCTCCCCCTTAGATAAAAGCTTCTCTGTTTTATCAGCATATACCTCTGTTTTCTTATCTTTGCCAGTTCTTTTCTACAGGCCCCTGGGGCCAGTCCACCGCATCTGCTATATATTAATTTCCCCTAATTTGCTGCTGCATGTCTCATTCTATTGGGACCAATCTAATCTTAGATTTAATTTTTTTCTCAGACATTTCTTCTTCCTTCTTATATACCCAGTATGTAACAGCATCCTTGGCATTCCTTTCCTGTTCAGGCTGCTTCTCTATCAATTCCCTGAGAATCTTGGAACTGAGAGGCAGGCTCAGAATACTCCTTGATCTGCACTATCCTACTCTCCTTTTCCTCAATAACTTAAGGACTTGGTTTAGTCTTCCTCAATGGCTTTCTCTTGCCATTGTATTTAGAGACTTAGTACTCATATTGATGACCATTGATGACCCTGCTCTCTCATGGTTTCCACCTCCTAAAAGCTGATGGTGGTTGTCTCTATTAAGCTTCAGCCAATCTGAGCTTCCTATCATTGTGATTACACTCTCATTACTTGAACATATTCCATATCCGAGAACTATAACTCAGCATACTTTCTGTGAACCACAACATCTTACTCCAACTTCCATAATGAACTTCTCATTTATCTCCTCCCCCGAGTCCTTCTGTCCTTCTCATATGCCCTCTTACATCTTATTCATTCTGGTTTGCCTGCTTAAATGTTCAGCTTGTACTCCAGGGACAGCCATTTCAAAAGTACATTTGTAACCACTTTAGAATCTATTGTCCCTTTGATCTTCTACCAATTTTCTTTCATCTTTCCATTGCCCTAGTTATTCTCCTGTGTCTTTTGTAATGGGCAAACAAATTCTGTTAACGTGGGCTATGGACCCAAATGAGTGCTGCCTGACTAACTCTATAGCAAATTCTTGCAGTTTTACAGCACTTGGGATCTAGCCACTTTTCCCATCTGTAGTTGACTCATTCACTAATGTGGTCCAGGATTTTTCCTTTCATGGCACACATAGAAACTATTTTTATGCGACTTTTTACCTATGAATGAGGCCAAAATACTTGCCTTGTTTACACTAATGGACATTGCAAATACTTAGTGAGATAATGTGTGTTAAAATACAGTTTTACATCTATAAGGCCCTAATATTATAATCATTCCATAGGCACATCTCATGCTTTACCACCTCTGTGTCTTATTCATTCTGATCTCTGCCTGTGATATCCCTCCTCAACTTTTAAGACTTAGCTTAAATACTACTTTCTTCTGTGTTACCTCTATCCACTCAGCACCTGGCCTGTTCCTGTTGGCCTTGGTAACCAGAAATCTTTATTTTTAATAATCCTGACTATATAAGATTCTATGATCCTGGTATCCCAGGTAGTACTTAGTCCACTGCTCTGTATCTAGTTAGGCAGAATAAATTTATGAGGCACCAAATTAAATTGAATGATAAATTTTGCAAATTTAGAAGTATACTCCTGATAGCAAAGGTTTGAGTGAGTTTATGGGTTATTCACAGGACTTTTATGAATTTTTCATCCTTTTTATCTATGCAGCTCATCAGTTCATTATTACACTTCATTATAAAGAATACACTCCTTATTACGACGATAATAAAATGATTTTTTTTGTTACAATGAATAGATTTAAAGTGTCATTGATTCCTCTCCTCTTCAGTGATAGTTTTTTTATACACTAAGTTTTATACACTAAGAACCTTATGGTTTTAGTAGCATAAAATTGTCATCTTGTAAAAGAGCTTGATTACATCAGATAGTCAAGCTCTTGCTAGTAAGACATGTTTCTGAACAAGCCCTCAGAAAGGAAAATATATTGATAGATCACTTTACCATCACCTGTTTGAAAGAATAACTTCAAACTATTCTTGAATATTGAAAAATATATTTTCAATATTGCCTTTAAAAATCCTGTACTTTGAAGGATAACTGGATTAAATGCCAAAACAATTTTCAAAACACTCTATACACATGGCTTTGTCGTATTTTTTTTTGTGAGAGAATTTATGGAAATACTACCCATGGCTTACTAGAGCCACCTCAATCACCGTTTCTTTTTGCTTTGACTATGACATATTGAGTGTGGAAAATACTTTGTACGTGTATATATAATATATATTTTATGTGTGTATATATGCTTATATATTTATATATTATATGTTTATATATATGTATACATTTTTACATATTTATATATTATATATATTTTATATGTGTGTATATATTATGTTTGTGTATATATATATTACAGTAGCCCTTTACTTTTTTTCTTTTCTCAACACAGCTGAAGGATATAAACATTTACTTTAATAATAATAGCTTTCTAAAGCATTAATATCTCATTGCAGTGGGAAAAGGCCAAGAATCTTAGAAGCAGAATCTTAGAGACTTGGAGGGGAATTGTTGGAAAAAGGTACCTAAGGTTTATAAATATGTCCTCCTAGGAAGTTTTGCCTCTTTCCACAAATTTCCATGGGGAACCTTAAGTTATAAATTTGATTTCTTCTCAGGCATTTGATAGAATCTGACCCAGTAATTCTAAGTCTACATATTTGCCCTTTGGATAACATCGGTTTCAAAAATAGAGAGCTCTATATTTGCTTTCTTCATATATTTAGAACAACAGTTCTCTCAGGAATTTTGATTATAAATAGTATAAATAGATAAATGGGAAGCTGTAATCAGCCAGTTATTGGTTACCTAACATATTAGGATATTTATGACATATGTAGAAATGTAAGTTTTACTGATTTCTGGAAATATATAGATTTCTATGTATGTCAGGGAACATTAGAAGGAGTGTAGCTCCCATGTAGTTCAGTTCTGACATCTTTACAATATCTCTCACAGATTGATTTTTATTTATGACCATCTTGAACTATTGATGAGACATTATGTACTTCAAAGTCCATTATTTTTTGGGGCAATTCATATTGTTAGAAAATCCTTCCCTAAATCCGTAAATTGACATTTGGCCAAATAGAACTAATGTCAATTTCATGTGAATAGCTGTACTTAAGATTTGTAACTTAAGCCATTCTATAGTGTAGTTACCAGACCTTTTGTCATCCCGTCTCCTTCCCTGATTCTCTTGTCATTGTCCCAATTACAAATGTACTTCTTAGAAGTGAACTCAATCATGTAGCACAGAGTATGAGCATGACCATAATGTGAGCATTACTTTATATGCTATAATTCAGGCTTGAATTAACATGTAGGCAGCCAGATCAAGCATTGGCTTGTTGAATTTTTGATTAATTAGAGGCATCAATCTTTCATAATATGTACTGTTTTAGAGTTAGTCTACCTAACACAGGATATTTTGTTGTTTTTATGTTTTACATAGGTTTTCCTCAAATTTCTTAACAAGAGTTTGGACAGTGATATCTTTATTTCCAAAATCCATGTATTATACATATGTTAGGATATTTGTCAAATATACTTTTGATTTCAAACATTAAACTGTCCATATATCTGAGCACCAAAATAAGTTGATAAATATATTTTGCAAGTACATTTAAGTCTGAGATCTGAAACAAAGTGTAAGAAGTTATTTATGGGGGAAAAATCTAAATATCACACATATTTAGTCAATCAAATTGTGCAAATTATTTTCCCAAATTTGAACTAACCATAAGTTAGTGGGCAGTAAAGCGATTATAGGGAAATCAGTTCATTTCTCTGGGCCTCAGTTTCTTTATTTATATAATCATATGATTGGACACAAAATTTATATATTAATGAAATACTTGCAACATATATTTAGTCATATATATGGAATTCTAACAAAAATGATGTTTCTGGTTGATGAGCCATTTTGAAGCATGAGAATGAAAGGAAAGAAGTGGGTTTTATTGACAGCAACAAAAAGATTGGCAAGAAGTCACAGATATAGCCTGAGAGAAAGGAACAGACACACTGTGTTTCTTCCAAACACAGAAACACACATCAATTTAAAATACAAGCATTAGAACTAAAGTCCATAGCTTGGACTTTGGGTAGAAGCATATGGCTAGAAAGTCCTTTATAATCTCAAGGAGCTCTAAGTTTTAGAAAAACAATTATCATACAAGAAAGATTACATCATCCATTTAGTAATGAAAAGAAGACTAGTTCATTACATTATTGTTCATGGGATATTTGAACACTATTAAAAGATAAAAAGAAAGCAGAGAATATACTGGAAAGAAATACATCCATTACCATTATGTTTAGTTTTCTTATGA
Organism: Homo sapiens; assembly: GCF_000001405.40. NCBI lineage: Eukaryota > Metazoa > Chordata > Mammalia > Primates > Hominidae > Homo > Homo sapiens. The sequence goes on from NC_000006.12 coordinate 101,449,049, forward strand.
GTTTATGAGGAAAATCTTTAAATATTAGTAAAGAAAATTGACAAAAGACATGAAGAGAAATAATTCACATATCAAGAAATACAAATTCTCTTAAGGAATAAAAATGGTATTGATTTACCAAAATTTTAACCTCATTTGTAATCAAATAAATGTCAATAACAAAAGTAAAATATTTAACTGCCAAAATATTAACAAGTATCTCTCTCATTTGTAAGAATATAAAGTGATTTTTATCTCTTATTTCATATTATTCTGAATTTTTAATTTTTAAAAACAACTGCATTACTTTATAGCTGAAATCGACACCAAACATAATTTAGCTCCAGGCTTCCTGAAAGCCAGGCCAATGTGAAGCACTCAGCAGTATGTATAATGTAGGCTGAGGCACCTGTAACAAAAGACAGATTAAGAAGGGAAAAACATGCTAATTTATTTAATATAAATTTTACACAACAAGGGAGGCTTTGGAAATGAAAACACAAGGAAACAAGTAAACTTGTGTACTTTCATGCTTAGGTTTGATGAAGAAGTGGATAGTTGTGAATTATGATTGGACAAAGAGAGTATGATCTAATGATAATAAACTGGTGGAATTTAGCAAATTCTGTTGATTCAGATTCTCCTTTGTGTCTCTGTGTCTCCAGAGTATTCTGCATAGTATTCTTTGACACTGTATTTAAAAATCTATATAGCTTGGTGTTGATGGTAGAATACTTTCAATTTGTTTGTTAATCAAATAATACTTTCCAGATATTTCAGATGCCTTTAATATTTTGACACACAAAGGGAGAAATGTCTGATGGGGGACTTTGTACGTGATTTTCTTGGAGTGTAGAGACGATTAATTCAAAGATAAAGCATTGGGAAAAAGCTGGAAAATGGGAAAATTCTCCGATTTGGAAAAAGCTAAAGAAAATTAGAGAACATCATGACTTGTTCACTCTTTGTTCATTTTTTGTTCTTTATAAATTATTCTAGTAAGTTTATTAATCAATACATTGACTACTTGACTCCAAAATATTACGGAGTCTGTTGAAAGTCATTCTGCAACTCAGGGAAATTATGTAACTGCCCTCAAGGTTACTAGTTCTTAGACTTCTATCATAGATAGCAAGAGAAATCTAGGAAATCATTCACAAATCACATATCACATCCAGATGGCTTGAAATTTTGTAGCTCTAGTAATAATAGATTTAATTAGTAATAATAGATTTAATAATAGACAGTGACTATAAACAAGACAAGAGCCATCATAGGTTTTTTTAAATGAATCCACAGTAAGTTGAGGAGTGAACCTTATTACAATATTGTACTATGTTATTGTAGCATTGATCTCTTTGTTACTAAGTTATTGAATCTTTGGAGTTTAAGAAATATGGCAGATTGAAAGTCACTGAACATTCCAGAAATTTGGAAGTCTCAAGACCTCCTCAAGGATGTGATTCTGTACCAGGGACAATTTTAATATCAGCTTTAGAACTTCTGGTCCAGACCCCAGCTGGCTTAATAGCTGATGTACACCAGAGAACATGTATTTTGCAAGTAACTGGTTCCCTTGAGTGTGGCAGTAACTACTCGGTGTTTCCTGTTGCCTACATAATAGAGTTCATCCTTTTTATCCTGCTATTTAATGTACTTTGATATGGTGTAACAAAAATACCCTTCCAATCCCCCAAAGAAAGAAAATGACATGAAGGAAAAAGAAAAAAGGAATAAAATAGAGAAGTAAAGAAAAGAAGGAAAAAGGTAGGAGAGAGGAAGAAATGGTAGGGGAAGAAACTGAGGGAGTAGAGTAAGAGATTTATTTTTTGTGTGTGTTTAGCTCTGGCAGTTATTACTGGTGTGATATTTGGTGAAACATTAAATATCCCTGGGCTTCAGTTTCCTCAGAGTAAAACTGGAGGATTCTATTTGATAAACTTTAACATAGCTTTCAGGTCTTTTGATTTTGATCCCATGACAATGTTTGAATCTCCTTTCCCGCTCTATTTTTTCATGTGTTCTATACTTCAGCCAGATCCCTTTACTTAACAGTCTCTAAATCATTCTTCATCCTGTTTAGATTAATCGTTGCACAGTCTTCTCAAACTCCTTATCCTGCGGAAATTCTACTTAATCTTTATGTTTGAGCTCAGTCGTCATTCCATAGCCTCCTTGATTTCTGATGTGGACTTAATCTTTATGTTTGAGCTCAATTGTCATTCCGTAGCCTCCTTGATTTCTGATGTGGAAATTAGTTTCTCTTCCCTATGAGATGCTATATAGTACTCCTTGCTTTATATCTCTCTTATAGCTCTTAACATTCTATTATCAATTATTATTTGTATTTAATATCTTTGAAGACAGGGGCCGTATGGTTATCATTCTTATGCCTTTCATAGCTACTAGCAGTCATTTATTATATTAGGCAGTCAATAAATTGGTTGAATAAAACTAGACTAATTATGTGGAATTTATTTTGAGATATTTGTTTCTGTTGTCTTATGGAAAATTAACCATACAAAAGCCACCATTCATGAAGACAGCATGGAATGGTAGAAAAAAAGTAAAAGGTAAAATCTGGATTTGCACCCCATTTTTAAATTTAATTATTTTGTGAACCTGAACAAATTACTAACTTTTCTGAGAGCCCATTATTTATCTCTGAGGGGGGGGGGGGTGCCAAATACCTCCCACTTTTGTTTTTTAAGAAAGGTGAAATAATATATTTAATGTGACTGGCCAGAAGATGTGCCTGCCAAAGTCAGTTTCCTTTTCATCACTCTTTTAGTGAAAGTTAGAGACTTTATTTTGTGCTACTTATTTTATATTATTTCACTTTCCTATGGAGACACTTTGGATATCCAACGTTAAGGTATATTCACACCTATTCGAGGGTAAAACAGTATTCACTAGTACTAAAACTAATAGCCAATACTTTCTCCCAATAAATGGCTTTCTTTTCATTATGGCTTTAAATATTTGTATTAACTTAAAATCATGCTATGTATATATTTAATACCTTTCTATTAATCAATTCACAAAACATGGAGGACATGTTTCTTATGAAAGTGACACAAAGGCTAAAATAGTATTTTCAATAACATACATAGAAGCAGAGCATATGGGTATCTAAGAGAAGCATACGGATCTCCATATGTTAAACACTTTCTTCAAGAAACATGGCTATAGTATTGATAATCAGCATAGTATGGTTCCTTGATTTAATTAAAGATTAGAGTCCTTTATGTAGCAATAGTAAAAACCCTAATAACACTTTAAGAATAACTTACCCAGTGGTTCTCAAGCTTGGCTGCATATGAAAATCATGGGGGAACTTTAAAAGATAATAATGCCTGAGGTTTCACCCAAATACATCGCTGTTTAATTGCTCTGTGCTTGCAGTGTATGAAATTTTTGTGTTTTTTTTTTCATTTTTTAAAAAGTTCTCCAGCATGTAGCCAGGCTTGAGAAATATTGCTCTCAAAATACCAAATAAGGCACTGCTTTCAAGTTCCTCCAGAACTGCTTGACACTATGACATTTTATTTTCCTAAAAAGGTGGCAATGATACATACAAAGATATGTTTGCTCAATGCTTAAGTCAGTCTTAGGCATCAAAAATTGAAGTGCCTTCAAGCAAAAACTAAATAATGCAAAGTCTGTTTTTATTGGAGAGCAAGTTAGGGGGATTCTATCTCAATGTGTTTATTGCTTTCTTGTGTTTTAAAAAAAACCCAACAACGACAGTATTACATTTCTAAAGTACACCAAAATGGGTTAAGGGAGTAGTGAAGCATTGAGAATACTATCTGAATGTTGTCCATAGAAATATTCCACCATTTAATAGTCTCAGTCTCTACAAGTAATCAAAATTCAAACCATGTGATTAATGGCAATACAATAAAATGGCAGTTTTATTTTTTCAGTAACTTTGCATCTTTCAGTTACTATAAAAATGCAGTTTTCTGTAGCATGATAGTTCTAAAAAAAATCCTTTCTTCTAAGGATATTGCTTGTGAAAATGATGTATTGACTCTCTACATATTAAAGTTTTCAAAATGGAATTCCCTCCCTACATTTCAGTGATCTCCAATAGATAATGTTATTATTCAACTGTATCCTGCTATTAAGATCAGAATAAGAAATAGCAGCTTCAGATTTCCCATCCTTTTTTTTTGTTTCTGTTCCGTTCCCAGTAGTTTCTTTTTTTCATTCATCTTCAGATTTATCCATCCCTGGCAATTTCAAGCTAGAGGAAACAAATTAAGAAAAAAATTAATTGACTTTATTTGCTTTAATGCTGCCAGCCTATATTATCTGCTTTCTTAAATGAGTTTGGAATTGCCAGCTTTGAGGGTATTACACTACATTTTGGGTTGCTGCCAGCATATCCTGAACAAATATATTTATATCAAAGCTAAGCTGCTTAAATATTCATGTTATGCTCTTATTACGGTTTAGAGAAATGTGAAACCATTTAAGATTTGCAGACGTGTTACATGGCCAAAAAATGTGCTTGAACTGTCAGAAATATACTTTAAATTGATAGCGCTAACCTAGTTTAATAAGGAAAAGTTTCCACCGTCTTATTAGTAGTGATACATTTAAATTCTTAACTTTTTTGTGATTTTTCAGTCACTAGGGCAATATGAATGTAACCTTTTCTTGAAATGTCAATTGGAAATGACCCCAGGATGTAACGTTATGAAGTATGTAGACTATCAGATTTCATGTGCTTTATGTCTGTACCGTGATTTTGTAAGCACCCTTTTATCACATATACAATATATTTTGTTATATTATTTTTAACGCCTACTTCATTGGCATGTTTCTTCAAAATGTAGAATTGCTAAATTCTATATAAAACATGCTCTTAATTTCCAGTGACAGACTTTGAGGATTCCCAATTGTTTGAACAAAGCATAAGATATAAAAAAGGGAATAACCCAGAAAAGCCCAACACCAATAACCGTTACACGAAACAAAGGAAGTAAAGAAGGAGAAGCTGAATTCACACCCTTTGAAGAAGGGGGACAATTGAGTTATTCCTACCGTAGACTGAAGGAAGAAGGCCGATTTTCCTGTTGCCTCCTCTCTTTCCTGTTTTCTTTTTCTTCCTCCTTAGTTTTCTTTGATTGGTATCATCATCAACTGACCATTTGGAGCATCTGATTTTGTATAAAACAAGTTTGTTCTTTTTACTTTCCGTCAAGACAAATAAACTATTCAGAATGTTTAAATTCCAGAATTCCAAAAGCTCTTTGTTTATAATCATAGATTCTAGTGATACTAGAATGATCTATGATTTATGGCATGGAGCATTTTCAAAGCAGTCTGAGCAATTCAATATAAATTTATGAGATACCAGTGAGAATTGCCACTGTTTCACTCCTGCCCCTCCCATGAGTATAGACAAACATGCTAGACCTTCCCGTCAGGGGAAGAACCCATTAAGCCAGTTCAGCGGTCTCAAGTCACAGGTGCTGTTTTATGCCCTTCAGTTAAATGCTCAGATTTCAACATAGGAGATTAACTGGTTATAGCAATAGGTCCAGCCATGAGACTGCTTGTCCTATACTGAGATTTTTTTTATTTCTAAAACTAAACCTTTGGTCAGTCCAAACCATTAGCTTTTACTGAATTCTGCTCTATATGTTGTAGTGTTTGAGAAAAGTTCCAATAGCTTTCTCTGTGGGAAACCATAAAGTTGTTTTTTGCTTCAGTGAGGCATAAATCTTACTGGGGAGAGCCTGCGAGGATTACATGAGCATTGGTTTCAGTGCTCTGCTAAGAGAAGGAACTTAAGCTTATTGGTATAAGCCTGGTAGATTTTCAAGATTTTCAGACATTTTCCATGAACATTTACAAAATTCACATACCCAAGTATTCACAAATTTTGTATGCAGCAATGTATTACCTTTAACAGTGTTGTTTCTTTAATGTTTTAAAAAACATAATCCTGAATTTTACCAGCAGTTTGAAATAATTTTTAAGACTCAATAATTTATAAAATCTTCTACATTTTACCTACTGGATTTGGTTATAACAGGACGAAAACTATTATTTTGGGGAGTCTGTATGTATAAGGGTAGTGGGTCATGGGGATTAGTGGGCATGGCAGGCTGAGGCAGGGAAAGGAAACTGACTTTCTGGCTAAGTGGACTAATTTGTTTTTGCTACAGCATTTTGTGCATATAAAAGAGAAGAAATTAAAAGTGGGTAATGTGTTTTGAAATGTTGGTTCTATTTTTTTCTTATGAGTTTAGCAATATGTTGTATATTGAGTCTCCTCTCTCCAAGCAAAATGCCATAATTCAAAACAATGCTTCTTAAGTGACTAGAGTGGGAAGAGGGAAAAATTCTTCTAAGGATATTGGGGTTGGGAGTGGGATGATAACCTTTTTAAACTTATTTTCTAGTTTCCTCAATTCTTTGCTGAATTGTTCCTATCACCCTGCTTCTAGAATGCCATGGAGCAGGCTACATTATTAATAGTGTTATAGGAGCCATGCCTTAAAATCATTAGACCTAGGTTAGAAATATACTTCCCAAGTTAATTTAAAAAAAAAAGTGACTATTTCGGGGAGTCCTTATAAATTGAGTGTCCAGTAATTTTTCTGTATTTTTATTTAGTGGTACATTTACTTGGGTAATATAGGTAGATAACGGTTTGATTTGGGAAACATCATATGAACATGACATAAAACCAGATTAATGTTGAGTCTCTATTTAAATATGTTACAGATTTAGTAATCAGGTTTAGTAGGAGAGAAAATAACGGTATTTATGACTCAATGAGATAACTTGTTTTATGGCTGAATGGGATCTGATTGTACTATAGTATCTCCGATGGTAGATGTCATCAGAACCAGAATTACATTTCCATAAGCACAAGTTCTGCTTATTATATAATTGAATTAAACAGCTAGTAGTTTTTCCAGAATTGAGAGGTAAAAACTCAAAAAGCTAACATGGCATGTTTGATTCATGAACTTGATCTGGAACACAAAAAGCTTCTAATAATGGGCAGGTCTTGGGGGTCCTGGTTACCTTTAAGTTGTTGGACATTAGCAGGAATTGGGACAGATTTTTTTTTTTTTTTAAAAAAAGAGAAGGATGCTGAAAGGCATATGTGCATGTAAGAAAACTCTAATGGAAAACTTCACTAACATTATAATTTTGGTGACATATGGCCTTGAAATAATAAGAAAAAATATTATGAAGTCCTAGGACCCAGAAATTAGGTCTGAAATGCTTAAGTGAAATGCAGAATTAGGTACTCACACATTTTCAATTTGAGGAGGAATATTTTCCTTGGGATGATTTACATTCAATGTTGCTTGGCTGAATATTGTTTATCTAGGAAGCTACTTGGAGGTAGGGAGTGAGGAGAGGAGGGCCATGGTGTCCACTAGTGAGAGTTGTCCTGAAAATCAAATTCTGAAAAGGAGAGTAGTAATTTAGTAAAACAACCAGTAATTATCTGAAATAAACATTTTCTATATCCATTGTACCTACAAAATAATACATGGCACATAAGTAAATGCTCAAAAAGTTTTGTTGAAAGAATTAAAATAACATTATTCAACTGAACTTCAAATGTGTATTTGGTATATGTGCAGGTATGCTTTTGTGTGTGAATACAAGCTTAATTTGGAAAAAAAAACCATAGAGTTTAAAAAAGAATGTAAGCTATGTTCTTTAGTTCCTATTTTATACATCTTGGATTATTGCATTAAGACTTTTCATTTGTAGCTGTGTGCATTTTTATCTAAATATTAAGAGTTTTAAATATTTTCAGACTTATTTTAGTTAGGCAAGAAAAAGTATGATTTTCCTAGATAGAGTCATATCAAGACAAGCAATACTAGAGGACAAATCTAGAGTACAGATAATTATTTCTGGATTCTTTGGGAGGCTGCCTAAACAGAGTGAAGTTAGTTGCTCAACTTAAGTATGCCATAGCAAAAAGTCTTATTTTGTTTAGTTGAATCATTGGATTGATTCCTAAACAATTCTAAAAGGAACACCATGGCCTTTTGCATATATGCTTATGCTTAGGCAAAGCTATGACTATAAGTAAAAATGACATGCTTGTTAAGCTGCAGATATGTAACTGTCAGTAATCAAGCCATTGCATAGGAATTTATGAACAAATTCAGTGTGTCTGTTTTTCCCTGTGTACATAATTTTAATATCAACATCAATATTATAAACTAGGTAATTGTAAGAGGGTATGGTAAACTTGGTGAGGAATAAGCATATGTTGATAAATTTGCACCTCTCTTGAGGTCACTTATTGATTACAAAGCTTGTTATCTTTCATGTGCATTTAGTGGTGTAATTGCTTTTGAAAATTATGACAGGATGATACCAAATGCAAATTAATAGTATGGCACTTGACATACCTGAGATTTCAGCAATTTTTTTTCACATCCGTATGTAATCTTTATTGGCCAAGATAGTCTATCCACATTTTGTTCTGATGGAATATTTAATTTTTTTCATGGCTAAACCTGCTTTAATTATCATTTTGACTTTTTCACTTCTAAAAATAAATGTTCATTTTTGCTCTCTAAATATAATCTATAGCCTATTGAAATTATACTTATTTGCTAAAAGCTGTAGTGGGTCCTTTCATCTTCTTTTATTGAATTTAGGATTTTAACTACATTAAAATTTACAGTTTTGGTGCTTCACAGTTTACTTCTTTGAATTTTCTTTCAAACAAGGTTGACCTGGAATTAGAAATTACAAGTAGCCATGCTTGATTAAACAGTCACTCCCTAGATGCCACAGAATCCTGTGGCTACTACTCTGAAAGCAAAGGTAAGGATCATTCAATGTGTCAGGAAAATATTTTACAGTAGATTTAAAACCATTAAATCTTTCCATAATAATTTTATTTAAAATGATAAAATATTATATTTAGACTTGGAAAGTAAATTACTTTAAAAAGCAGAAAGCAAAAGCACTTAAGCCATCATTTTTAAAGACTTGTTGAAAAATAAGTATTCTCATGAAAACACACTGTGCATATTTGAAAAATATTATGAGATAGATTTGTGTTCTGTAAGTAGTAGATAGTTTATTATTGCTATGATGCTGGATTAAAATATTTTTGTTGCATATTATATATATTTTTTCCTTCTGAGAAGGGATCTTTTTTTTTTAAAGGACATTTCCAGAAAAATCCTCACATTAAAAAAGTATTATCCATATTATTATTTTAAGAATTTTATGCAACTGACTTATTTCATCACAATATGTTTGTGAAAAGCCATGAACCAATCTCTTTTTGACCAGTTTGTTAGATATTTCTTTGATGGGAATACACATTCTTTTAATTTAGTGCTCCAAATATTTTTCAAATTTTGGTATACAGAAATTAATCAGATTCCCATGGCCTGCTTAGATAAACTGAAGGAGTCTGGCTGCTGGCCCAGGGCTGGGGCTGTCCCAGCCTCCTGCAGTGCAGCCTCCAATGGTGCACTGATTGAGAGGCTTTGATGTAACTGACATTCACTGACTCAGTCTGTGTTCTAGGCACTGCAGATACAAAACTCCATCTGGGGTCAGGATCTTTTCCATATTATCTGCCTGGCACAAAAGAGTGCTGGCAAACCCAGTCCACCTCTGCTAGACAATCGTATCTGGTACTAGGACGGCAGCCTCTTCAGCAAGAAGGGGGTACATTGGCCAATTCCTATGAATTGGGCTCCTCGTGAAGAACTCATTTATCCACATGGAGTAGGTATTACCATGTCAAATTTTTCTCAAAACATAGGACCTCTCATTTCATGAGGCCAAAGATTTCTTGATTTTAAACTGACTTTTAATCCATGAGAATATGGCTTGTATTAATTTAAAAAGTAAAAGTGTTCAAACTGTGATTGAATCTTTTTTGTGATTATGACCGCAAATTTCTGTGACTTCAATATTTTCAGAAACCACAAAAATTTGATGCATCCAAATTTTTGTTTTGAAAAAAGTTGGAGTAATAATGGGGGAAAAATTCTCTGCTGCTTTCTGCTTCTGTGTTATTTAGGCGCTAAAGCTAAGGTCCCCAGAACACCATTTTTTTTTTTTAATGTGGTTTTCTTGACCAGAAGCAGAAAGTGTCAGCTCACATGTAATGAAAACTATCCATGCATGATTTCTAGCCTAATTTGGCAGATTCCAAAGGTCCTTTGAAAGACAGCTGACATTTCTGATGATTACCTAAATTGAATTGAACCTTTGAATGTTGTCATTTTAAAACATGTTAGACTCAGTCCAAAGACAAAAAAGAGTAATAGCCATATATTACAATTTCTGATGTGAAGAAACCATTTAGTCTTCCATTTATAAGGCACAAATATATTTGCCATGCATCTTAAGGAAATCCATCATAATATACTCTTACTGAGATTGCTTTCCCAGTCTTTGTTAGCATATTCACAGTATAGTTCTAGTCATAGACAGAAGCTACGCATTTTTTTAGAAGGTACAGCTTACTTGGAAATGGTAGTGGTGATTCTTCCTAGAGGTTGACCTTAACTATGCAAACAAACTAACAAATAAATGAACAAAGAAAAAAAACCCTCAACTTTATAGGAAGTTCTAGGTTAACATTTTTTCAACAATATTGGACCATTCATGGTGGCTAACGAATGAGTACCGAAATATAAAGGCTCACTCTAGAGTGTCCTCATGCATACCTCATTTTATTGTACTCTGCTCTGGACCATAGAAATTACACATCTCTTGCTTTTTTTTTTTTTAGACAGAGTTCGACTCTTGTTGCCCAGGCTGGAGTGCAATGGCACTCTGCCTCCCGGGTTCAAGCGATTCTCCTGCCTCAGCTTCTCAAGTAGCTGGGATTACAGGCGCCCACCACCACGCCCAGCTAATTTTTTGTATTTGCAGTAGAGACAGGGTTTCACCACTTTGGTCAGGCTGGTCTCGAACTTCCAATCTTAGGTGGTCTGCCCACCTCGGCCTCTCGATGTGCTGGGATTATAGGCATGAGCCACCGTGCCCGGCCGCACATCTGTTGCTCTTATCCACAACTTCCAAATTCTGCCTCTGCTTCTCCTGTTACTCCCTTTTTTCTCTCCCCAGTGTCTAGTTGTGCCACGACAGTGTCAAAGCCACAGTTGAGTATCACCTCCCTTGTGAAAACTTTTCTGGCTTTTCCCCAGCTTTTCACTCCTCAAATCTCTCAAGCAGTGTGTCATTGTATTTTCTCTGGGGCCATTTAGGTCTGTTTACACAAGGACAAATGTTCAAAGGAGAAAAAGTATCCCTCTAGAGTAACTTTTATAAATCTAAGAGTCAGTGTACCACATTCTGATAAAATTATATAGATACTAGGTGTTATTTCTGAATTGGGAAGTTTGTTTCTTCTTAAATAGATGAGTAGACCTTAAAATAAACTTGTATTGGTAATGTAACACAAGTTGAAAATCTAATTTGTGGCAACATGCATTCTTATCATTAACAGGAACTGTTGCAAATTGGCTAGAATAGTCCTTTGCAGTTTGGATTACTTTTCTATTATAGTAAGAGTGATACAGCACATTAACACTTTGGCTTATTTTGAATAGATAGATATTTGCAACCTCATCCTGGAGAAATTTGCATTCAATCTTTGAACAGTAGGGGGTTATCTCCATATAGAGAATCTTCAATTTTCACTATGCATTTCCTTAATTTTCTCTGGAAGGACACCTGCAAGAATTAAACATGGGCTCTCTAACATCAAATTTTGTGTCCTTAGAAGCCTGAGGGAAAGCAGAGGACATTCACAATCAGTCATTTTTTTTCTTTGATGAAAAGTCATCTGTCTTTTAAATTTTGGTTTAATAACAAATTGACTCCTTATAATGAAATTTATGTAGGTGGTCATTTTGTGATGAAAGTTAGAGGTAAAATATAAGTATTTTAACAGCATACTTTTAGTATCAATGTGTCTGTTATTATCGTAGACATCACCAATTAGAAAGGAAGATAACAGGATGATACACTGTGGAGATAAAGTGATAATTCTTTTAATATTCTTTAATTAAAACAGAAGAGTCAACTAATTTCCTAGTTGCTAAATACTGGAGATGAAACCATGTGGACATTTACAAATGTTGCTTCTGGGTGCACATGTTAGTTTTCTTTTGCTGATATAACAATTACTGCAACTTAATGGTTTAAAACAACACAAATTTATCTTGCTGTTCTGTAGGTCAGAAGTTGGGTACAGGTCTCACAGGGGTAAAATTAAGGTATAATCAGGACTGCATTCCTTTGAGAGACTCTTGGGGAGATAATGTTTTCTGCTTATTCTAGTTGTTAGTGGCATTCTGTTCATCGTGGTTGTAGTATTGATATCCTAGTTACTTGTTGTTTGCAGCTAAAGGTTGTTCCAAGGTTCTAGATGCCACCACATTCCTTACCTTATGGCCCACTTCCTCTATCTTCAAAACCAATAGTGGCCAGTCTAGTTCTCGCATTGCATTTCTCTGATTCAGCCAGGAAAAGTTCTTCACTCTTAAGGATTCATTTGATTAGATGGAACTGTCCAGATAATCCATGATGGTTTCCACATTTTCAGGCTTAACTCTTGATCACATCTGCAATATTCCTTTTATTATGTAAGGTAACATATTCACAGGTTCCAGGGATTAAGACGTGAACATATTTGGGAGGCCATTTTTCTGCCTACCCCAGGCTGAAAAAACTGAGTTTAACATAAGCTCTCCATTACCAGCACTCATTAGGGATTTTCAGGAAAATATCAGTTGGGTTAAATTGGGATAAAGAAAAGAACTGAGAAAAACTTTGTTTTATACGTCCTAAAGCCCAATTCTTGCCACTTCTAATAGTTATTCTACAAAACCAGCATGTTGGAGTGTTATATTCCCTGACATTCCTAGCTATTCTTAAGACATACGAAGCTGAGAATTGATTCACAAGGCTGCCTGGTTTTCAATCTCAGTTCTGATTTACCTAGTTTCGTATACTTTAATGTGATCTTGGGGAATTTATGTAACCTATCTGTGCTTAATTTTGCTCAAGTGAAATAGAGACACTAATATACCTCTTTCAGGGTGTTAAATGTTAATATGTTAATGTGTTGTTTGGTTAGAATTATTAGGGCCTAACACTGTATAAGAGTTATATATGATTATGGTAGAACTATACATTGCTACTGACTGCGCCGGTGTCCCTCAATACATATTTTTCTGATATAGCAATGTGCTCCATCTGAACATAGACCCAAGCAGTTTTTAAAAATTGATGACTGACCATGGGGAGTGTTATAAGAAATGGTTATTTTAAAGTTGACAGCATATTTTCTGTTTCTCAGGAGAAGGTTGAATTCACTTAATAGGGCAGAATGTCCCTTTGGTTTTGGAGAAAATGTCACTGAGCTTTTTCTTTCAGCAAAAATAGAGTCAAGATACTACTCTAAAAAAGACCAGGAAGATTTGGGGGACACAATTTCTCTGTTTTATAGTATAAAATGTTATTTTTCTTAAAAAAATTATAGGTACAAGGACATCTTAAAAATTAGATTTCCTATTAGTATCATTACACACACTGATCTGCTTTTATCTGTGCTCCTGGGAGTTAAAGTCAGGCCTGTGCCTGTGTTTGTAGCAAATTTTTAGAGAATGTAGCCCAAGTAAACTGCGAATGAAGAAATGAGAGATGGTGTGCAGAAAAGCAGGGCTGCTGTCCAAGGGAACTGGTAACATTCAGCCCTGATTGCTCATCCCACATGAGATAAACAGATAAACATCCCACATGGAATCCTGAAACTGGGTCGAGGGTGGGGTTTAGTGAAAGGAGGGAATGGATTTAGATGACTGCTGAGTAGGTCTGCTAGGAAAGAATACTTCCATCAAATTGGAACATCTGAGTTATGCTGAGAAAAATCTTTCTTATGTAAGGAAGAGATATAATGTTGAAGATTCTTGTGTTTAAAAAGCCTATATATATTTTTATTGATGCATTAAAACACCATAAATCAATGGTTAGCCATCTTAAAGATTTCAGACACTTATCTTTTTGACAAATCATCTATCAAAGTGTTTTGCTTGAAATTTGAATTAAGTGGAGCAATATGACAAATTATTTTAAACAATATTCTGCTAACATTATATAATAGCATAGAGACATTTTACAGGCAGTGTTTTAGAGACAGTATCCATAGTCTGCAAGACACACAAAAAGTATGAGTTAAAAAAAGAAACTGTAGTCTATACCTAAATATCTTTGAATAATATTTGTTTAGCACAATATTACTTAATAAATGCCTTATGATTGCAATGGTTGTTATTATTTCTTTAGAGAAATCTATGGTGAAAAAAGTAATTTTGGTTTTCTAATCAAGAGAGTTATTGACTGTCTTGATGCTAGACATAATGGTTGGAATGAAAGGAACTGAAATAGGAAGAATATAAATTGTATTTTTATTCCAATGTGTATTTTATTAACACATTGCTTGTCTTTACATCAAACTAGATAACTCAGTTGGATTGTGGCAACATACTGCCTGGTCTTTTGGGGAAGTTCTTAAAATCAATTTTAATAAAACGATTTAAAATGCCATAATTCTTTCTCAGTAAACCACTTTATGTACACCTGTTTCCTGGCAGACACCTCCAAGACGTTGCCTCTATCCAAGGATGACTCCAGGGCTCTAATATCTATCACACAGGTAGAATCAGATCATTGACACAAGGCAAAGAGACTCCAACATGCATGGAAAGTAGTATTTCCCAAGATCAATTTTGAGGAGCACTAGTGAACATCGTATTGGTAATTAAAAAAAAAAAAATTTCACTTTGTGTGATGGTTAATACTGAGTGTCAACTTTATTGGATTAAAGGATGCAAAGTATTGTTCCTGGGTATGTCTGCGAGGGTGGATTATAATATATTATAGATTTTTCCTTACTGCAAGAATTCCCTGGTCCTTCAATGCATAGTGTGACTAGTAAATCTCCAAAAGAAAAAATATATAAGATACATAACCTTTCCTCGAATTACTTGATTACAATACCCTCTATTTTTGCTGCATATTGTTTTTATTACTTGAAACTCACTTACATGAAGTGTGTATGAATAAGAATAACCAAAGAGCACATGTGGAACAGAGCAGCAGCACAGGTTTCGAAGCTAGCAATCAAGGCAACTAGCAAAACGCAGAATATCTGGAAGATTAGATATCCTACACAAGCTCAGCCTAAGGAGAGGGTCCATGGCTTTGGCAATGATAGCATTCAGTTAGTGATGTACAGCAGAGGTGCATGAAGCAGGTTGAAGAAAGTATGATTAATAAAACTACTTTCTACTTCATATTTTAGGCATTTTTTATAGTCCCTCCTGAGCAGGAGCCAATTGCAGTGGTGGAGGCATAAACTTTGCCTGTCATTATAAGTCACTGCATTGTGCTTCATTATAATTTTTACCTTTTCTTTTTCTTTCTTTTTTTTTTTTTTTTTTTTTTTTTTTTTTTTTTTTTTGAGACAGAGTCTCACTCTGTCGCCAGGCTGGAGTGCAGTGGCACCATCTCGGCTCGCTGCAAGCTCCGCCTCTCGGGTTCACGCCATTCTCCCGCCTCAGCCTCCCGAATAGCTGGGACTACAGGCACTCGCCACCATGCCTGGCTAATTTTGTTTTTGTATTTTTAGTAGAGACAGGGTTTCACCGTGTTAGCCAGGATGGCCTCAATCTCCTGACCTCGTGATCTGCCCGCCTCAGCCTCCCAAAGTGCTGGGAATACAGGCGTGAGCCACCGTGCCCGGCCCCAAACATTCTTATAAAAAAGACTTTGTGGTGGATTTTTCGAGGAAGAACAGCATAGGCCTTTTAAAGGGCTTATACCTGGCAGAGACTAAGTATATGGGGGAATTGAATTAGATTAATATTCTTTCTAAGTCAATCTTGATAACAGGACTCCTGAGCTCTTCCTTCACTATTTTATCATCTGCACCACTCCCTTTAATAGTTCCAAAAAATGCAATATGGCTAACAGGATAATATCTGAAAGCGAAGGATCTTGACTTTCCTTGGATAATTTTTTTTGCCTGCTGACTCTTAATTTTTATTTATTTTTAATTTATACACATAACGGGTACAAGTATAGTTGTATTACATGAATATATCGTGTAGGAGTGAAGTCTGAGCTTTTAGTCTAACCATCACCCAAATAATATACATTGTACCCATTAAGTAATTTCTCATCTCTTCCCCCTCAAACCTTCCCATCCTTCCAAGTCTCCAATTTCTATTATTCCACACTTGATGTCCATGTATATATATCATTTAGCTCCCAGTTACAAGTGAGAACGTGGTATTTCACCTTCTGTTTCTGAGTTTTTTCACTGGAGATAATGGCCTCCAGTCCCATCCATGTTGCTGCAAAAAACATGTTTTCATTTTTTTAAATGGCTGAATAGTATTCTGTTGTATGTATGTTCCACTTTCTTAATCCAATCACCCATGATAGACATTTAGGTTAATTCCATATCTTTGTTATTGTGGAGAACTTATTATAGAAGTATGTTTTTAGACCTCAGATTTAGAGAGTCTCACCCAGTAGATCTGCGGTGAAATCCAGGGCTCTCCATTCTTGTTGAGCTGCCTAGATGATCTGAAGTTAAAAGGCCCAGGTACCACACTGACAAGACTCTCCTAAAACCTTTGCAGTTGCAAAAATATTACTCTTCTAGCTGAGACACATCAAGCGGGACACCGATGTTATTTATTTAAATCAAGGCAATCCACATATAATGAGATTCCAGTCAGGTCAAGTACTTAGCAGCATTTCTGAGAAAGAAAATTATCTTTAATTTGGAG
Source organism: Homo sapiens (assembly GCF_000001405.40). NCBI lineage: Eukaryota > Metazoa > Chordata > Mammalia > Primates > Hominidae > Homo > Homo sapiens. Next base: position 101,465,872 of record NC_000006.12, read on the forward strand.
AATAAGATTAAGTTAATTCAAGTCTTATGGGGGTTGAGTGCTGTTTTGACTAGAGGGAGGCAATGTCTAAAAGCATGAGGTAAGATTGTCTTCCCACATGAGCTGAAAAACAAGAACAAGAACAACAATCAATCAAAGACAGTTTTATTTAAGTCTTGGCCTCCAGTCAATGTTGTTGTCATTGACACTCTAGGCTGATATGGTTCACACTTATTCAGTTGTTTCCAAAATATTTCCTTCTGTCATTGCCAGTGTTGTGGCAACGTCAAAGTGTTTCTTTCTGGGTCATGGTCTCTTCACCTTGAAACTCCTTAAACTTCATTCTTCCACTGAAACTAAAATTATGTGTTAATTTAATTTTATTCACCTCCAAGAAGCACAGTTATAGTTTATGAATGCATGAGATTTGATATAATATTCATTAATATAATTCTATTTTATTTTTTATTATATATAAATAAAAAGCTAATATGTAATTTGTGACATTTTCATAACTTGATTAATATTGTTATATTACTATTGTCAGGAACATTTCAATGAGCTGAACAGCCTTACGAATGACCAACACTCAATAGGAGATTCCTTGTAGCATATATTTACTTCACAATTAGTAGTCAGTTGCTGTGTAAATAAAACTATTTTTGCATTAGTGAAAACATATTTGTTAGCTACTTCGAAATATTAACAACAAAGCTGGCACTCTTTAAAAGGCTGCTTTTTTCTAAAAAAAAAAAAAAGCTTTTTCTGTGTTCACATTTGTCATGTAGCATATATCGTCTTTCATTCATTCTTTTTTCAGGATATAAATAACTTTCTCCAGATGTCAACCTTTATGGAGAGGAAAAGAGGCATCAGCAATTTCAGGCAACCACAAAAGCTCTGATGTATTTTGAAGGAGTTTGTGTGCTTTCAAGAGTTTTAGCAGGAAACTCCTGCAGATGATGAAGGTTGAAATCTAGAAATGTTTGTTGTTGTCTATATAAAGTATGGAATTATAAACATTTACTTTGTGACTGATGAGACTTAAAGGATGGATGAATTTTAAAGGTGTTCATTTATTGCTTTTAAATAACTTGTAAAAATAATTTTCTTTCTTCTGAGATTTGATCTAAGCACCCGCTAATATACATGATAGTAGCTGTCTTAGATGACACAAGAAAATGAAATGTCTATTCATTCATTTTTGGTTTGGCCAATCTCATACCACAAGACATATTTTATACCCTTTTCCAGCAACAGAAGTATGTTTTTATTGTATAATTTAAAGCCATTTTCTTTGTAAAATTTTAAACCAGTTGGAAATTTGTTGAAATTGAATAATTTCTGGACCAGAGAAAGCACTATGAATGGGGACTACATATAAATAATTTAAAAGTGAATAAGAGAAAAAGCCAAGAATTCATTTGCATTTTTGAATAAAGCCAAACTTTCATTTAATTATACAGTAGTAGGCTTTAAAACATATATTTTTAGTCAAGTCTGTAAAACTGCCAGATGCTAAAGTAACATAGATAAGCCAATTAGGAATAGTTTCATTAATATAATCAGAGATTTTATAAAAGATACAAAGCTTTCAAGGTTTGGATCTGAGACAAAGTTTCCAGAGCCTCTATGTAGCCTGGTAAAAATGCACAATGATTCAAATGCAAGCTTAAGGTAAGCTAAAGTCTTTCATTCTTATTTTTAATAGCAAACCCAGAGCTCGACCTTCCATTATTCAATATTGCTGTTACTGCTATAGTGGGAAGAAAAGAGGGCAAAAATTTGTGTTAGAACACTTACAGGGAAATATTTTTTACACTCCGAGTGATTATATTTTAAGATGTCTATCTACTCTATTCCCACCTTCTTGTATTATTCAAGTTCAGCAATACAGTGAAACATCTACATACAAACTTATGCTACACTTCAGTTCACATGATGAATACACATATAGAACCTCTATAATGAAAAGCAATCTAGATTTTATTTCATTTATAAATACCCAGTGTGGGCTGCTTTCATAGTCCTTCCTTATTTTTTTTTTTTTGAGGTTTCATTTTTTGCATGCCCACGATATATTTTTTTTTTTAATCTGGCAAGGATGTAGGAGTGTCTCTCAGGGCACGAGAAGAGAGCCACTTCAAGTCTGCCAGCACTCTACCCAACAGACCTATCCATCATTAAGGAGATCCCAGAAAGTAGGAGCTATGGAACTGCCTCAGGCAGAGCTAATGTGAGATAGAGGAAGAAATCACATCCAGCCAGATGTCTTTTGCCAAGGGACTGCCCAGTGGGAAGGACCCACAGAGCCTCTTAGGAACTTGCATGTGTCCCACACCAGCTACACAGAGGGGATCAGGTCCCAGGTAGTGGTAGCCAAAAAATCATTAACCACCCACAGAAAGAACTATAACAGCAATGAGGTAAGTGGAGAGGGCTCATCAGTTCAGTTTTACTTTTCATTCTTTCACTAATGCTTATCTTCACATGAAAACATTCAGTTTTTTAAAGAGTTTATACTAGGGGACTAGAGCAGATAGAAATCTAAGTTTCAATTCCAGTTAGCTGGCATGTCTTTTTATAGTATGTTTTCACTTTGGCATGGACCAAAAGCTTTAGCAGTTATCCATAGGAATTACAATGGAAATTCCAGGCAGATTTTAGTTAGGTTAAAAAAAAAAAGTTGAAAATGTTGTTCTAGGCCAAGGACTTGTAAAATGTGGATGGTTGCCTCTTGTAGTTTTTAGTTTGCTTTTGAAGTGCTTTTGAAATAGTTACAAGAACCATTCCTCTTTGAAACGGGTACGATATAGGTCACATTTTCCTGTACAACTGGCCTTACTGGATCCTAGTATAACTTAACAAGATATAGGAGTTTTTCTTAAGCCATGATAATCCAGTAAACCACAGAATGAAGTAATAGTTTACTTAAAATCTAATCAAGAGAGAAAACTTCAATATATGTTATAAGGTTCCTCATGATAATAACACCATGTCTTCCTATGTACTCCTTCCTTCTACCTGCCCTCTCCCACTTGTCGTACCAACACATATCACTTATATTCATTTTGTTGGACAACAGTGAATGCAGACCCAAAGGTTGAAAAATGAGTATCCCAGAATACTGCTTCAGTTCTAGTGAAGACATTGGGACAGCATCCACCAGAAATATTAAAAAAGAGTTTGGGTGGTCATCTTTCAGAAAGGTTGAAGGGAAGATTCTCAGCCTGAATGAGGAGTTCACTATGTATTCTTTAATATCCACCAACTAGAAAATTGTGTGGTTACAAACCCACAATAGAGAAAACAAGGTGGTTTGTTCAAAAATATCAGAGCTAATATTTTTAGAGTAACTGATCTGGATCAATGATCTAAACTATTTTCACACGTAAGATACTATTTATTGTAAAATTAAAACATGCAAATGAAAAAAAGGAAAAACTGTTACTGGCATGCAAGAGAAGACAGCTACCTTTCCCACACTCCTTAATACAAGACCCATGCTAGTGAAAGGAAATTATTTAAAATAGACAATATGATTTCTTTTCTTCTTTCTTCTAGAAAATGTTAACCCACTGGGCCCGTTTAAATTAATATACTGTCCAAATAGAATTTCTGTTATTCCTGATGATGAAATGATATCATTGATATCTAATATTTACTTGTTTTCTAATGTTTAAAATCAATGAGTTAAACATTTGTAAAGGCAGTTTAATTTACCTGTATAAATTTAGTACATGGTGGGATATAAAACTCTAACTGGCCTCATTCTTCTCCAGTCAATGTTTTAACCCTTGCTGTATTGAGTATTCCCTTTTCTTCGTTTAATAATATCCTGAACAGATTCTATAACTTTACAGTCACTTTAATTCCTAAAAGCCATCCAGTTTAATATCTCACTTCTATTTTATCCTGTGCCATCCCTGAATTGCAGGCCTGAGGGAAGTGGGGCGTGATTTCATGAAGTGATACAGATGTTGGGGATTTAATCTTCATCTAAATAGTCCTCTTTCTTTCTCTTCAAGACTTGGGTCCTCTCTGTTGTGGAAAAGCAAGAGGTGAGGGCAGGAGCCCTCTCCACTTATGTCATAGCTTTTTTAGTTCTTTCTGTTGTTGGTCAATGATTTTTTGGCTTCTACTACCTGGGAGCTGATTCCCTCTATGTATCTGGTGTGGGGCACATACAAGTTCTTAAGTGGCTCTGTGGGGCCTTCCTATTGGACAGTCCCTTGACAAAAGACAACTGGCTGGATGTGAAACTTCCTTCAACCTTTCTGAAAGATGACCACCCAAACTCTTTTCAAATATTTCCAGTGAATTTTGTCCCAGTGGCTTCACCGGAACTGAAGCAGTACTCTGGACTACCCACGTTAGCAGCTCCACAACCCCTAGTTTCTGGGATCTCCTTAATGGTGGATAGCTTTTGGTAGAGTTCTAGCTGACTTGAGTTGGCTTTCTTTCACTTTCCCTGAGAGACACTCTTATATTCTTGCCATGGCAATTGGTGAGAGGGCAAGCTTCTTTATTGTGGCCTCTGTTGCTTCAGTATGACATCTCTTTCCAATTTCTTTGCTCAGTTATGTAGTGGGAGAATCAGTAAGTTTGTTGCCAAAGCAGATCTCCAAATGAGAAGCGAAATGCCTGTCTCCTCTTCTGAGCGAATCCTTCAATGTGATAATTTTTCTTTCTTTTTTCAGAAGCCTTCTCACTAGGCTGATTCTGAAAACTCTCTCTCTTCCTTCCTAGCTCTCTCCTTTTATATCCTGGGGATGGGGGAAGAGTAGGGTGATGGTTCAAGCCCTGCAGGAGGATCATTATACTCAGACTTTGTGAGTCTTTGTCCTCAGTCTGTAAGCTGCCACCAATTTCTTAGAAACAGGAAATGCCCTATTCACTACCCTCTGACACATTGATATTATAATCAATGCTAGAAATCATCAATGCAAGAAAAATGTAGAGAAAACAATCCATCAAATTTTTAGCTAACTTTTCACAACGAAATAGCAAATATTCTACATGGAATGTATACATTTGAAAACATTTAGTGGACTGCATGATCTATAGTACAACCATGATGTTATAAATACCAGTATGCATTTGAGGACAAGTATTAAGTTGAATATAATAACTCAAATATAAATATTCTTACCTTTTGATATTCTTTTTGTGTCATTATGCAAAATAATAACTATGGTTTTATCAGTTCCACATTTTCACTTTTTTCTCTTAATGTGTAACTAACATTTTTTATTTGCATACACATCAGAAAGAGTCCTGGACTTGACATCAGAAAATCCACATTCAAATCTAGGCTCTTTTCAGTGACTGCACTAATAGGTGACTTTGGACAATTCCTTTATATTCTCTGAGGTTTATTTAGTAGCCCTATCTATAACGCTTTGGTAGATTAAACGATCTCTCATATTATACCTAATACTAATACTAATCCTAAATTTTAAGAAAATGCTATTGGGTCAATAATTTAGTGTGTTTGATCAATGTTCGTCACGTGCCACCTAATTTCACTATGGCCCCAATAGCCTATTACTTCACTATGATTGGTGTCTATAACTTTCATGCAGCTCTGTTAAAGGAGACCTTTACATGTTTTTGAGTTAATTATTTTGACTACTGGAATCTAATTATTTACAGGAACAATGATAAACATATCTTACAGCTAAACACCAGAGCCATGAAAATGACTTTAAACATTTTTATAAATACTAGTTAACATGAAACTGAGATGCTTTGATTTCTGTTACAATATTTATCTCTTTAAAATTAAGGTTGACATTGATGTTTCACTTTCATAGTTATCATTTGAGAAGTCCTTAAAATATGATACATTTATTTAAAATCTTTAGTTTCTTCATCTATTAACTGGATGACTTAAAAATCATTAAACCTTTAAGCATGTATATGTTAACAAAGCATAAACATGTCTGTAAGTTGGCAATAATTTGAGAGAAATCTTCCCCTTTAGTATGATTCTTTCATTAATAGCTCAAGTTTAGTTTATTATGTATATAGATGAACAGAAAAGAGGTCAATATATTAAGCATTCAAGATGAGCTATATGTTCAATAAAAGTCATGGTGTCCATAAATTTTTTTCTTCATTAAAGAATGATTTTTTTTTGCCATACCACATTTGAAATCTTGTATTTCTCAAAAGAACTTGGGTGTTTCATTGTATTGCTAAACATTTTTATGGTTATTTAACCTGGATTATTCAGTTATAGCATTTATTTGCCATAGAGCAATAATTTATCTAAAAAACGTGTCATTACAGTTTATCTTTTATTTTTTTCAGATGGCATGCTTGTGATTGAAGGTATCTGCATTTTTTGTAAAGCTTCTCTTTTGGGATAGCTTTCTTTTTGGAAATTTCCATGCCAAAAATATTGCATTTTCAAAGATGTCCTTTCCTTTATGCCTTATTTTTTGTTTGAATTTGTTTTCCCTGTAGAGATATAATACCGTTTGGGAAAAGGTGCTACAGATTACCTTTTGTTCTGGTATTTTTCAAAATATCCAGAGTTATTTATTTTGACCTCAGTATTTAATGTGGAGTCCTAAGAGACACATCATAGATTTCCCATACTGAATATATGCATTTAAAATAAATATATTCAAAACATATTTACAGAAATACAAATGTACTGTGTGGTTGTCTTTTTTCTTTAAAATCAGGAAAGCCTCCCCTCCCATGGCTTGAAAGATATTACATACAGCCTACATACTATTCAAAATTCATGAAGTTTGTGAAGACCAAAGTTTATTTTTAAGTGTGTGAATAAACAATTTCCATTTCAGGTTCTTTTTGAGTAGGCACAATACATAATTACAATTAGCTGATATGCAGCCATTCCTTCTTGTGATTTAAAATCATTATGCAGTTTGTTACACTGTCCGCTTTCAAAGTTCTTTGATTGCTAATTTTAAAGACTGATACTCATTTCAGAATAAGAAATGGTATATATTCAGAATTTGGAAAGCAACAAATTGTATTTATTTTCAATTTTTTTGATTTAATAGAAACTTCAGAATAATATGAAGAGGAAAGGAAAAGAGGTTTGAAAACTAAGGTCGAGACTATTTCTATATGTTCATGTCTTGTGTCTACTTGGCCCATTTGAAGGAAATTCTCTCATTTCTGTATGATTTCTTATGTTGTAAGAAATAATATATATATTATTACACCTCTAATAGAGGTTCAGGCAGAAAAACAATGAATCCTAGGTTTTCCTTCCTTCCTTCCTTCCTTCCTTCCTTCCTTCCTTCCTTCCTTCCTTCCTTCTTTCCTTCCTTCTTTCCTTTCTTCCTTCCCTCCCTCGCTCCTTCCTTCCTTCCTTGTTTATTTTTTTAAAGCTCCTTGTTTTCAATTTAGAATATGGTACACTACTTTAAAAATGTGGATTAAATGATTTATTTTAGCTTTGAGGTAGTATTTACTCATTGCTTCTTTTAAGAATTTTAGTAATTTTTAGATTTTTAGAACAAATGGTACCCGAGTTTTTCTTATATGTTTCCCTATTTACCACATGGATTTTGTAAACAATTAGAGTGTCATTCTTTATTATTGAACAATATAAATAATAGTCATGTAAAAAATTCTGTTGGACTTAATTTACCAAGCTAGTCTTATATGCTTTCTTTGGTTTGACACTGTGTATTAGGAAACACATATTTTTTCCAACAACTAAAAATAAATTTTAAATTGAACTAACTATTCCAATGACTAATTCTTATATATTATTTTTCCCACTTCTGAGATAGCTTGTACTTTTTGTTCCAGGACCAAATAATAACTGAATCAGTTGGTTTTGCTGCCAGTTATGGGACTGTTTTTGCCCATATTTTCAACGTACTGGGTGCCCTTAGGTTTGTAACACATTTTATTTATCTGCTCTGTCATAAAGTAAAACACATTCATAGCTTTGAGGAGTAGATGTGGTGATCGATCACTAAATAGAAGGCACAAAAAATGAACAGCAGATGTTGCTTTTTTGTATTTTGTGCTATTTTACACATTGCAAATTAAACTCATGTAAAATTTTGTGGGAATATTGGACAGTGCATACTCTCACTGTTATATGATTTTTAAAAAACCTGCTGCCTAGTTTTTTCTAACTCATCAGCCACATGTCTCATTACCTAGTTCTTTTTAAGCCTCCTCTCCCATACACTGACCTACCAATGAATCCCATATTAATGCTCTCAGAGGAGGTGGTTGTAAACTGATTTGGAGTGAAGAGACAGAAAAGCAGTAGCAAAACTCTCTTCTGTTAGGTCAATGTCTTCACCCACCCCAAAGAACTTTGATAATTTAGTGCTAAATCAGGTGTTACTATTATTCTATCATTTAAAATAATTGAACTGACTGAGTAAATTATAATAAAATATTATTGAGATGTATATATTTAAAATTTCTTTACAGTTAGAAATGTCATATTCATTTGGAACTGAAGATTAAAACAGCCAGGGCATTATTTCTTAAACTGCACAGAGTATTTAATTGTAGCTTCTTTGAGGAGGATCAAGATGGCCAAAATATAGGGAAAAGCTTTAACACATATTTCTTACTTAGTATTGTGTTGTTCATTTTAATTATAATAAATGTTCTGAATATTTATCTGACCAATTAAAATATTTGACTTATGAGAAGTTCAGGCTTGAATATTATACTTTGCATTTTTGCTTTAGCTTTTTCTAGTAATATACAATAAAGGCACTATTCCTGTAAAATCTTATTTCTATGATAATCATAATCCAAGGCCCTTATCCTTTATTTAGTATTCATACTAAGCTTATCACTGTTATATCTAAGTCAGTGAAATGAGATTCCACAGGAGAAAAATGGGAGAGTGGCAGGCTTTTTTTTTGTTTTTTACTTTGTTAGCTACGCAAGTCATAGCGTACAAATTAGATATTAGATATCTTTTAAAAGTAATGTAATTAATTTGATTACATACCATAGTTCCTTTTTAAAAGAAGCTCACATAATAATACTGTTAATCACAATATCTAGAATTATACACTTGTAGTAAAATTTAAAATGTAAATCTTTACATCAGTGATTTTTTTTCACTCATGCAACTGACAGATTTTTCTTCTTCCCATAGTCCCATCCAACCAAACACTTGAGTGCTTCATTACATGGATCATTTGTGCTTCTGAGATAACCAGAAGGTGTAACTCTTGTGTTGATCAATTATAGGAGACTTCCCTTGAGGCCTTAGAAAGAGTTCTTGAAAGAAATTCTTATCTGCTTTCCCTGACTCTCTCTGATGACTAATAACATATTTAAAGGCTAATATGTGTTAGAAACTGACACACGTTTAGAGAAGGTGTATTGTGCCCTAGAGATCTGACACTTTTCTTCACTGACTGAATTCTATCATCCTCTTGTGTCTAGTAAATTTAAAAAAGTCAACTTGGTGAGCAAGCACATCACTGAATTTATTTTTGACATTGCAAATATTGTATTTGTCAGAGTCCACCGAAATGATGGATAAAAATATATATTAACATTGTACATGAAATGTATTGGAGAGGATGTAGTTTAAAAGGAATTAGGCTAATAAAAAGTTGTTTAGTACACTCTAATTTTCAGCCAGTTTAAAAGTTGGATCAAATTTAAGAAATGTATCAATTATAAAGAGCTATTTTTTCACTTTAATGTCTTTCTCTTTATTGAAAACTTGTTTCTGTTTTTTTGTGTGTGTCTGTTTTGTTTCTGTATCTGCTAGACTTCAGTGTTGCACTTTTTGAAGAGCTCAGTGTAAACTGCAACTCTTTTTTCATAATCAAAAGGAAGAAAAATAAGTTATTCAATAATCTTATGTTTATATATAGTACTATTGGGTAGCATACGAAATGTCTTAATGACATAAAGTTTATACAGCCTCAGAATTTAAATCTAAAAAAGGCGATATTTGTGTGGCTGAGTGGAATGTAAGAAGATATATCACTGATACCTACTAAAACATACAAAAATTTTATAGGTTGTACAGCTCAACAGTAGAAGAGTAGTTGAATATTAGAGGAGCATTATAAAGGATAAATACTTTTAGATGCTAGGTAAATATATACAAAAGAGCCAAGGTAATACCCCATTTGATATGCTTAATCTGGGAAAATTTTGTGGAAGGACAAAATGGATATGAGTATGTCAAAAACTGAAACATTTCAAATTTTGTTTTGTTTTAGTGAGGCATTGACAAATTTTAATTAAGAATGTTGTCCCATCTTTTTCTTTTATTTATCAAATGCACAACTAATCTCAGGAATACCATATGATGAATTTAGTATATAACTGTAAATGGATTCAGCTACTGTGTGTTCTCTAGTACAATCAGATTGAACTATTTGGAGAACAAGCAGTTATCTATGTGGCTGTATTGTCTTCACACATCTTCCCTATGAAATGTTTCACTACTAGAGAAATATTTCTTTCTCCACCAATCTATTATTTTTACTTTTATTTTTATTCATTTTTGGAGGAAAAGATGTGAAAAATGCACATATTCTCAAGATAAGAAGCCAGCTCTTTAAGGAGAGTTCATTGGTGGGAACTTTTCAAACGGACAGCTAGCTGAGAACAAGTTGATAGAGAGTGTATTGGAGTAATTAAAGCAAAAGGCTTTGGAGTTTATGAGCATCATAAGTGTATGATTTTAGGTTTTTTTCCCATTTATAAAATGTGAATAATTATAGTACCTACTGTATAGGATTGTTGGGAAAAACTCATTAAAAAGCTTGGCACGTAGAAAGATTTCACTGAATTTTACCTATATGATAATTATATTTTTGTAGGGTAAAGAAGGAAAGAAAATGTTTAACTTTTGAGGTTCATTTTGATGGCCTATTAAAAATCATATGTTCTGCCTCACTGGTTAACCCACTGAGATGACCACATGTTAGGCATGTACTATTCCATGCACACTATGTTCAACCAAGTGATGTCAAGCTAAGCACTATGAATTAATTTCTTGCAATAGTTCAGGAAGAGAAAGCAGTGGGATCTTGGGTTAGCATCCAAGGCGCAGTAGCATGGCCAACCTAAAAGAACCTATACTATTAAAATATTCGAGTCTTAAGCAATGGTTTACCATACCAGAGTAGCAAACAATGGTTAATTTAAATATTAATTGTAGAGATTTTAAAGTTTTGTGCATTTTTAAACTCTCTATCGCCTAAAGTACCCTAAGATTCTACCTAGTTTATGTTTTTATATATTTAAGAAACTGTATAAAATAAAGTAAAACTAGAGGGTCTGTGAAATTGTATTTCTTTAAGTGGGTTGCATACAGTCCTTAAGTTTTAAAAGATACCTCAAGACATGGAACATACACTTACAGGGGCAGTTTTGGGTAGTATGCCCAGAACAATGTTTAAGTATCACTCATACCTGGGCTCTGAGTTAAGGAAAAGGGGTTAGTATGTTGGTGTTAGGGAGAAGAGCAGCAAGACATCATCAGAACGGTAAGGGATATTGACAGGTCAATGTTTTATTTTTCAGAATTTGCCCACAATGGCCCTTCTTGAGAGCTTAGCCCACCAAACAATTTGTCAAATTATGTTTCTTATCCATTTTGATCTCCCTTCCTCTGTAGCTGTTCTTTGATTGGGTGGCTACGATGAAACATGGGAGTCAGGGCAGAATTCAAGCAAGTTGGCTACTTTTCAGTCCATTCTGTTGGCAAGATGTGGATCTTAACCATATGGTGAGGCAGGGTACTTACGTTCATTCTAGAGGTTTATTCATATCTGCCTGCTGCAGGAAATTAGCACTGTTCACACTTGTTTAGCCTTAATAAAAATCTTTTTAGCTGAAGCACAGGGATAAGGTCACCATCTGCCACATAGAAATGCCAATATCAAATGAGCAACAGAAGGGAGGTATGTTTCATTCTTAGAGACTTTTAGAAAGAACTTCAAATAGATTAAGCACTAATTGATTCCCCTCTTTACTAGTTTAGACTGTAATTTACATTTATATTGTGAATTGCATCATAATAGCAGTGAAATCTGTCAGTATGTCCTGCTTGCCATTCTTAGAAATAGCACTAGAGGTAGCTTTTAAAAATATGAATGCCTTTAAGCTGAAACATATACTGTCTGTGCCAGACACTACATGAAACTTAAGTTTAGATGGCTCAGTGAGTATCTTTGAGTTTTTATGAAAAGGCTGATAGATTATGGACTACCAATTACCTTTACCAAAAAGTACATTTTTGAATAAGAGTATATAATGTTAATGGAATTTATGATTAATTAATTTATTAACAATTAGGAAAAGTTAATGAATACAATGTTTAATCCTGAATTTTAGCATGATTAGGTTTTTTTGAGTCCTTGAAAATTATTAGGTACTTCAAAAATCTGGTTCTACCAACAGAATTTTAGTTTCGAAAAGACAAACAAAATCTTAAAATAACACTTTATTGTTAGATCTTCGGGTCCTGTGTATTATAGTGAAGGTTTACTTTCCTTTGTTTTCTATGTTCTACAAACAAATCATAATTAATGACAACTAGATTAAGAAATTAAAAGAATTTAAAATGGTTATAAATATAACCAGATGTGGAAACTTTTTATAAGTTACATTATATACAAAGGAACAAACTTGTTCTTTTACTTCTGTTTTGGTTTTTTTTTTTTTTTTTTTTTAATTGAGATGGAGTCTCACTCGGTTGCCCAAGCTGGCGTGCAGTGGCGCGATCTCAGCTCACTGCAACCTCTGCCTCCCGGGTTCATGCCATTCTCCTGACTCAGCCTCCCGAGTAGCTGGGACTACAGGCGCCTGCCACCACACCTGGCTAATATTTTTTTTTTCTTTTGTATTTTTAGTAAAGACGGGGTTTCACCGTGTTAGCCAGGATGGTCTCGATCTCCTGACCTCGTGATCCGCTCACCTTGGCCTCCCAAAGTGCAGTAGTGTTAAAAATTGAGGCCTGAGACTAATTTTAATGAATTTAACATCCATTTTGCCTCATTCCACCATCTTTACATTCTTTGGTCATATTTAGCCTTTTGTATGTTATTTGTGGCAGCATACCCTTAATTTTCAGACATGTATTGGCATTTTTATTGAAATAGATTTTCATGCTGATGGTAGCTACAAAACCAGCAGATCTTTTTCATTGAGAAAATGAGACACAACTGGCATGTGGAAAACAAACCAAAAAAATGTGTAGTCATGAACCAGAAAGTTGACAGCTTGTTCTCATTTTATTTTGGTTTTAAAAACTTGGTTTTACACAATTATACAAATCAGAGAGGAAATGTCTAGACATGTCCAAGCTCTCATTTCTGTTGCTACAGTCACTAATCTCATTTCTTTGACGTAATTTTTCTCTATAACCTTTACTTTTTAGCAGTCTGTACCATTTAGTCTAACTTTATTAGCATTGATCATGAGAATATCTTATTTTAACAGGGCTGTAAGTGATATTTGTTAGATGGTTATATCATTTAAATATTCCCTTCTCAGTGAGGGAGAATTTTTTTACTTATATTTTAAGATTAATATGAGTATGGCATGTTGAAAAACCAGCCTAATCATTTATTATCATGGCGATTTACTATATATGTTTATAAATAGTCCTACATACCAATTAGGTGATAAAACTTTAATTTGAAGTCTATAAAACAGTAATTTAATTTTTAAAACTAATATTGGTATTTTTGAGTTTTCTAAAAGCTTTTACTGATTAAGTTATTATTTGTAATTTCGGCATGGTTTTTCATGGGCTAAGTTCAACTCTTTTCTTGCTTACTGGAACAATAAGTAGATTATCAATATGAATGTGCAACTTATCTATTTAATGAATTAGGTTTTGTTATTGGGGATTTGTGCATACCATTTGTTAAAGGTTAGTGCTTACATGTCTTTTTAACCTTTACCTGTAAAAACTGACAAATACTTCACTCTTGCGAATTAAATGTAAACATTTGTCATTTTCAATGTTTCTTTATCCTTTGAATTATTTTATTAAGACAATATTTTAATTTCCTGTTTTAAGGTTTTTTATTTGAAAAGACTACAAATTTGATAGGCAAAAATCACAGTATATTTAATAGGGAGAAGAGTGGGACTTGTCAACTCCCATAAATCTATAAAGCAACTCATATATCAGCAGAAAATTCAAATAACATTGTTTTAGCCTCCCCTAACATACTGCATGGTAGTCCAATTCCTTCCCTAAGATTTCTGCAAATTTACAAAGGAACATGGTGAGTGGGGAAAGGTTATATGCTCAAGTTCATTCTATCAAAGCATTTCTGCTTATTCTGGAGAGGTTTCTGTTATGGATCACTTCAACTCAGAGAGGAAATCATGTCTCTTCATCAATGCTCACAAATCGACCATTTACACCAGTTATTCTCAAGAGCAGTAAACTTTCCTGATGATGGTAGGAGAGACAAGAGAGGAGGGTTATATCACATCAATTCAAATGACTGAAATTGGAAGTCAGTCAATCCTGCTATTAAAATATCTGTCAGGATTTCAGTTGGCCTAAACTTCATAGCATTCCATTGGCTTCTCTCCCTTTTTCCTCTCTTAGCATCCTATCTTTCTCTTTTGTCAGGATTAAAAAAAAAATCTCATTTTTCTACTACAAAGGAAATTTTGTTTTTCTACTTCCTACAAAGCCTCACTGTTGCTTTGTTGCTTTGGCTTTCACCTCTGCCAAAATATTGCTTTCTATAGGTTGGTAAGGCAATCTCCCAGACAAAGAAAATTTCCTCCCTAATGGAAATCCTTGTGCCAGCTGTTAAGTATTAAGATAGAACTTTTATTTTAGTGTGTTACCAAGATTTTTCTTTGTAGATTGCCAACTCAAGATTGTACTAGATGCTAAAAAAAGAAAAAAAACTGGGATAAATGCAAAGTGCCTTATTCAGTGGCTTTGCCTCTTCTTCAGTCTTCTTTTTGTTGGTCCTGGAAATATTAACCCATTAAAAAAGGCAGATCTGTTTTATAATGACAAATATTGGTAAAGAAACATGGGATCAATTGTTGAGAAATTGAAAGCAGTAAAAAAACCTGATCATAGAGTAACCATGTAAGTAAGCAAAATGGGGAGTCATGAATAGAGTGTTGACAAATGAGAGTGATATTGGCAAACATGAAATTAAAATGTACTTTGGACAAGCCTATCGCTAAACCTGAGGATACTTTTGATGTAAAAACAACTGTGGTCCTGACTGATTTTACTCTAAAGTTCATGTAAAAAAACATCCTTGGTGACACACTGACATTGATTTCCTTTAGTGTAACTGAGGCCATATACTGTTCTGATATTTTTCAGAAACTCTTTTTAGTTGGGATTAGAAGCTAATAGTATTATTTTTGAAACCTGTTTTTTTGTTTTAAATGGAATATATAGGCTGTTTTTGGTATATGAAATTAATGCAGAAGGCTATTCTACTTCAGCCAGTGCACTCTAAGCAAATCCAAAAGGAGCCCTCATATTTTGCTATAATTAGAGTGACCATTATCAATTAATAATTAAATAGTTCCCACTCTACATGTGGAAGTGTGGAGTGTATCCATGGAAATATAGAAGTAATGCTCTAGCTATTGATAATACCATATTTAGAAGACATTACTTCTAAGACAGCATTAACAAAACTATGCTTTACTATGATTTATTTTTTAAAATTTCCTGTTCAGTTAAAGTTTGTATTTATTTTTACCAACTGAAATGGTAATTTCAGATTATTTTGAGTATTAATTTCAGATTATTTTGGGTATTAAATACTTAATACTTTCTGATAAATACAATTTAATTTTTTGAACTACAGTAACCAAGATTAACCTAAGAAGTATTTTAAATATATTTTGCCATGTAGAAGTGCTTGGTGTTTTATCTAATCAGTGAGTGATATGGTTTGGCTGTGTCCTCACCTGAAATCTCTTCTCCAATTGCAATCCCCGTAATCCCCACGTGTCAAGGGGAGGCCAGGTGGAGGTCATTGAATCATAGAGGCAGTTTCCCCCATGCTATTCTGATGATAGTGAGTGAGTTCTCACGAGATCTGATGATTTTCTACGTGTTTGATAGTTCCTTCTGCGTTCATTCTCCTTCCTGCTGCCCTGTGAGGAAGATTCCTTGTTTTCCCTTCACCTTGCACCATGAATGTAAGTTTCCTGAGGTGTCCCCAGCTATGTAGAACTGTGAGTCAATTAAACCTCTTTCCTTTTTAAATTAGCCGGTTTCTTTATAGCGGTGTGAAAATGGACTAATACAGTGAATGACAGCAGAAATACGTCATTGGTTATTATACACACTAGTGAAGTCAAAGTCTAATAATTGTATTCCTCTCAGTTAAGTAACTTTCTCACTTAGATTCATTCCGGCAACAAATATTTATGGAGCACCTACTATTGTCAGGTTTATGCTTAGCACTGGAAACGTAAAATGAGTCATGTTCCCTCTTCTTAATTGATTTACCTGCTTTATCGACAGGCAAAACAGGGATTATCAGTGATACATCTTTGATAGTAGTATGCTGCCTTGAGTGAAATGGGTTGCAAAAGATGGGGATCCACACTGGGCAGTTTGGCTTTCCCAGAGAAGGTTATACCAGCTCGGTGTTAAATAATACGTTCTTGTGGGTGAGACAAAAAGCGACAAGCATTTTTATGCAGCGAAAACACTGTGAGCAGAGGATTGGAGATAGGATGCAGCCCTGTGTTATCAGAGCAAATCTAGTGGGAAAATTACTCTGGAAGTTATGGAAATGTAAAATGTGTGTGTAGAGTAGGAAAGTTTAAGTAGATTTGAGGCACAGAGAAAAAAAGACAGACATGTTAAGAGACTATTAGACTAATATAGATAAGAAATAGGAGGCCTGAATTGAGGTAGTGGAAGTAGGAAGGAGGAAGAAGTAACGAATGAGATCATTGACTCAGTATGACTTAGGATGTAGTGGAAGCAACACCCTCCCACGCACATTGAAAAACAGCTGGTATAACCTTCTCTGGGAAAGCCAAACTGCCCAGTGTGGATCCCCATCTTTTGCAACCCATTTCACAGTGTTAAAGTTCTTATTTTAACAAATTGTACAATGTGAAACTAAATTTTATTTTTTATTTGGTAGTATTAATAAACAATTATTTACATCCAACGTGTAATTATTTGTATTCAATGTGTACTTTTATATATTAGCTGTGCAATTTAAAGATGTTGAAAAACTTTACAAATACATAGCAACAACTTTACAAATGCATTGTGGCAGTCTTACTTTTTTTTAAATCAGATATCTTTCTAAAGCAGTGGTCGCAATTTCTAAATTTTATTTTGTTTCTTCATAGATTTGAACCAATACAGAGCTTATAGTGGGGTATTCAATAACTTATGGAATTCTACTCTCTGAAACCTATCTTCAGAATTTTCACTGTGACAGAGGAAGTGCAAGGCAAGGGACAATGCCATCTCTCATAGTGATTTTTACTAGCAAAGAACATTGATTAAATAAGCAATAAGTTTGGATTATTTGTAGTATGATTAGTAGTGGGTTCAAATATGCCACTTCTGAAGCTCTTGAGTTGCCACCCTAGATGTTTTCTGAACCATATTCTTGCTTATTTATGTCTTTTAAACAGAATGTGTATTGTTAATTATAATCCCCGTTAAAACTTATCTAACTGAAAAATTTTTTTAACTGTTTCTTCTATTTCCTTTTGTTAGTTTTTATTTCATTTTATTTATTTATGTATTTATTTGGGATAGAGTCTTGCTCTGTTGCCTAGGCTGGAGTGCAGTGGCACGATCTGGGCTCACTGCAACCTCTGCCTCCCCAGTTCAAGCAATTCTCCCTGCCTCAGCCTCCTGAGTAGCTGGGATTACAGGTGCCCACCACCATGCTCAGCTAATTTTTTGTATTTTTAGTAGAGATGGGTTTCGCCATGTTGGCCAGGCTGGTCTCCTGACCTCCTGACCTCAGTCCGCCTCAGCCTCCCAAAGTGCTGGGATTATGGGCGTGAGCCACCATGCCCGGACCCTGTGTTAGTTTTTATTGATTCACTTTCCCTTTCTCCTCAACAGAAGAGTTATATAAAGTAGGGCATTAATATGAATATTTTGCCAACATAAGATTATATTGAAAGATATTGGGCAGCCAGTTAGAGTGTTGTATAGACTTTTCTAAGCATATGGAAATATGTCAGCATTGGTTTATAACCTGAATCTTTTTTCTCTTTATAACTTTGTAGTCAACCTTGTCTTCATTTACAACAGATAGTTTTATGAGTCTACTGATTGCAAAAGACAACAAAGAATAAAATGAGAATTTTAGTAGAGTAGATAATAGTCCCAGTTGCTTGGCTCTTTTGATAGCACATATGAATAATTCACCATCCATATTTAATAGCATATGTTATGCTCCTTAATACATTTATAACCATCTCCTTCCAAAGGGAAAACTATCCTGCTATTTGTGGTTTGTTTAGTTTTTCAATGAAAGCTGAAGAGAATGTTGAATATTTGCCCCAAGACCTACTACAGCCTGAATATTACTACTTTAGCATATTATCCTCCATTGTATTTTCTGAAAAGATTTCCTTGGGGATGCTATCAGAGTTTGTAAAAATGATTTTTAAAACATTTTAAATATTGCTAATTGATTCTTACACTGTATTTTTATAACATTTAAAATGTATATATGTAACTACACACACACACACACACACACACACACACATATATATGGGATATGCTAAGTTGGTATTTATGTCTGATATGAGGAAATGTCTAGGTAGGTAATGTTAAGATAATATTGAAGCAACCATCTCAAAGGCAGTGAAAGCTTCATGATTTATCATTATTGTGAGTTATTGGGATTTTCTTCAGGTGTCAGAGAAATTTGAGGTAAAGTACATTTTTTAACATAGAAAGCCTACTAGATTTTTTTCAATGATTCCTGTTTTATTTCAATGCTTAGGTAGATTATATATTTTAGACAAGTATGAAATTATAGGTACAGAATTTATAAGTTCAAAATGCTTCTATTATTGACAAATAACTTAATCACTGGAAACATTTATCACTTTTATTGGCGTACCTGACAGACAGCAGACTGCTCCGGTCTTGAAGGAATAAGGCTGCAGAGGCATATCATAATTCAATTGAAACACATTTCTCCTATCAGGAAAACTAAATAGCATCAAATACCTTTGACTTTACAAAGTACAATGACAACAACCTTGACTAAACACAGATCATTTGCTTCAGCAAACGGAATAGGTCTAAGTATTAGTATACTAAATCCTATATCTTACTCCAAATGATGTAAACTAGTTATATATTTAGAATAATATATTGTGCAGGGAATTCAGCAAAGAGGTAACTCAGTTTCTTCACTTTATAGATGAGAATATTTAAGTATCATAGAGGTTAAATTATTTTCCTCACATGAAGCAGCTGGCTAGTGGCTAAGTGGGGCTATATCACAAGACTGTGATTCCAGTCCAGTCCAGCATTTCTTTTGCATTGCATTATAATTATTTTTAGGCATAATAAATTAACTTTAATACTTTTTCTTTAACCTTCCAAGCATAAATATTTTTCTTTATAGGAACTTTGTTTCACTTTTAAGAACTACTAAATCACTAAGTACAAAACATATTTGTGACAATTTTGGGGAACTTTGTGATATTTATATAAAATATGTTGATAAGCTTGTATGTTAGTCATTTGTTTAAGTCATTAATTCTGAAAAGTAACTCTTACAGAATTTAGAAAAGGATTTGCACCATAAATATTAGTAGAGTTGATTACAACGGTCCGGGAAGTTTTATAGGGATAAGAGCAATTATATTGAAATATACTTGGATGATAAAAGATGAATATAAAATGAAAGTCTTTAATATGAATATTTCTTTTACAAAAATACAATTATAGCAACATTTCTGCATAATAGGCAAAGAAAAGTGATAGTTCTTCTGAACTATGATACATGATCCAAAGGAGCTTTATATTTTCAATTTATGCTGCAGTTTTTCTGGTTGGTATAAAACGTAATTAGCAGGCACAGTTGCACCATTGCGCTTTTTTTTTTTTTTAGTAAAACAGCTTTACTTTTTTAAGGGACAGCTGGTGGTATGTCTATAAAGCATTATATTAAACCTATGGGTTTCTAGTTATGCTGTTTTATAATTACATGAAATTCAATCAATCAACCTTTTAGTGATGGAATTGGTGAGTATTGGTGAGCCTTAGTCTCATGTCAAGATTTTCGCTGGGAGAAGAATTGACTGAGGAATACCATGCCTTGGTGTGTTCAGTCTCCTCTCCCTAGAATATTTAACAAGAACAACTTAAGTAAAATAAAAGCCTTCAAGTGGTGGGAGAAGTGATATCTCCAAGGGAAATAGGCAGTTTGAGAGGATTTGAAGGGAAGAAGTCTGTGAATCAGTAGTAACCGAGCATTTGTGAGGCCAGCTTTCCATGGGATTATTGTCAGATCAGCATGTCTGTAGCCGAACTTGAAAAGCAGCAGGTAAGGTTGCATGAGGGGGTGGGGCGGGGGGGGGAAGCTAAGTAGATTATAGAAAGTCTGCCAAATTAAGGGGTTTTCCTTCTGAGCTCTTTATGAGAAGAAGCCACTAAGACATTTGAGCAAGGAACTATTGTAATGTAGAGCACCTAGAAGATATATTTGTGTTTACTTTAAGCATTAGGACCACCTTAACCAATTCTTTGGTGGATGAAGGGAGACCAAATTGGAGGGGGAGAGCCCTTAATGATCTTTTGTTTATTGAAACTAAAAGTGGCTTCAAAAATCAATTTTATCAAATCTGTTTCCACTTTTCAACATCAATAAATCAGTGGAGCTCTCTGTTAGATATATAATAATCAAGAATAGTTTAGGCTTAGGTAATCAACTTGTAATACTTGCACGTGTAAGATTCTCTGCAGCAACTGTGAGGTATTTTGATTTACAAGTGTCTCTCTCAGTAACGAAGTATATGAAATAGCACCAAGTCCTGACAAGAATGTAGTTATGTGGAACAAGATTAAGTCTCTAAATACCCTGTACAAATATTTGGTTATAGCATACTAGGCTTTGAAATCGGGAACTATGGACAGCACTATTATCAGGCAATATTTGTCTTTAACTCATGCCTTTACCCCTTTTCAGGCAGTTTCATACATTGGGGAGAATTTAAGGGAAATAAAGGCTGGTACTTTCCCTCAATTCATACCACACAGATGACTACTTACTGTGCCTTTGAGTAGAGTCAGTCTTATATTCTGACGGGGTGATATTTTGTCCCAAATGTTTAGTAATAAGTAATGCTTTAGTATATTAATCATAATCATGTAACATTTATTGTTTAATAATGTTTTTGCTAGTATGAGATTACAATATCCCAGGCTATTTTTCTTATGAACCATGAGTTTTATTTCCATGAAACACTGGTCTAAAAGTTCAAAGACACTGACCATTCTAGGACGGCTGCTTCTCACCAGCCTTACAAATGTGTGCAAATTTCTTCACCTCCTGAGCCTCAGTACTACATTTTAAAACTGGAGGTAATATTAGTCCCATCTCCACCACAGTGTTATTGTAAAGATAAAATGAGATCATATGCATGAATGGAAGTCATTATTTTTCACTTTTATGAGGATACTTGTTTTCTATTCTTTTGACAAAGAACCTTCAGGGCCATCTTTTAAGATATGAAAATCACCAATATGTATAAAACAAACTACTGGAAAAACACAGTGCGACTTGCATATACAGTAGTACACAAAATATAATATGACTTACACATAGTAACACACATAATGTGACTTACACATGGTAGCCCCTCTTGTTTTTATATCAATTTTTTCACTCAACAAATATTTATCAATACTATGTAGTAATTATAGCTTTTTTGTTCTAGTGTTATGGATACAGCATTAAATTTAAAAAGATCAAACTATTGGTCTTCATGGAGCTTGTCTTTTTGTAGGGGAAAAGCAGACTTAGAATATATATTTTTAAGAATCACATAGAAAATCACACATTAACCCTGAGTAAATGTTATTTTATTTTATTAGCAGAAAAAATACTATCCACTACGGGAAAAAAAATCTGTATTTTTACCTTCTTTTGATTTTTGGCTAAAAATTATGTTCAGATGGATGTCAACTATAAAGTTACAAGTCTTCATCTTTTTACTTCTATTTAGATTGTATTTGAAAATTGAATATAAAAAAGCTCTAAGTAGACATGATCAAGTCTTAAAATATTTTAGGCATCATTAGTGCTTCTAATAATAATTTTATAGTAACTTCTAGTCTCCTTATAATCATCCTGCCTTTATTTAACCAAATTATTCTGTCTTGTTTAACTGTTATTAAAGAATATAAAGAATGCTTAAGAAAAGCTTTAAAAGTCCTCTCTAGTAGTAGAAGTATAACTTCCATAGTTTATGACTCCCAAAGTCAATGCAATGTCTTCATAGGTTACATAGGCAGAGAATGTGAAAGAGGTCATGAGTTGTGGTTTTTTAAAACCTCTTTTGTTTCATTGTGTAGGAAAATATCTTTATCAGAAGAAGAAAACAGTGTTTATAATTATAATGTAAACTTGTTAAAGATTTTCATGTAAAAGGTGAAGACGAATTTTGTGTGAGGTTTATCAGAGAGATCATCAAGAGAATTATTTTCACTTTTGGGAATTGTTCCAGTTAATATATTGATCGATAGATGGATGTCTTCATTGGTTTTGCAGGAACCTGATTTCCAATTTTGCTTTTGCCATAAATGACTTAGGCCACTTTTCCTCTCTGGGCTTGTGTTTCCTCATCTACAACAAATTGCTCAGCCCAAATTGTATCTAAATTATTTTATTTAGGTTCTCATATTCACAAATAAACACTTTTTTTAATGCTTCTATTTAATTTTCAAAGTTTTTTTTGTTATTGCATTTCTGATATGGATGACTTTGTAAAAACATAGTAGGTGAGGTTGAAAAAAGACCACAGGGGATGAATGTACAAAAAACATGTAAATAAAACTATTGGAGTTTTCTTTATAATTCTGAGGGTCTAAGGATCTCACAAGTTATATGCAAGAGAAGCGGCATAGTGTTTTCAGAGATGATTAATATTTAGAAAAATTCAATTCTGGTTAAAATAGATTTAGCTAAAGTAATGATAGTTGACTATATTTTAATGGGAAATTTTAAAATGTTACTCTTTTGAATAAATGACCACCAGATTTAATTTTTTAATATAAACCTACTTCTAGAATACCCCCCATTCTGCTGTTTTTCAAATGTCAAGTGCCAAAATGTCATAAATATTTAGGGAAGAGGGTTTACTCTTTGAACAAGGAGATGATACACAGCTTTATTCTGTGAGTAAAAATTGTGATGACAATCATCCCAGACAGATACTATTTTCCAAGTGACCATGGCTAGAGAAACTTGAAAAGTGGAAACAGGGCACTTGATATTCCATGGGAACTCTCTAATAAGATTTGAAGAAGTGTCTGTAGATCAGTTAATTATTCTATTGTGGAAATCCATTCATTTAAAACACAGAGAGCACCCATATAGGCACTTTTATCCTCCCCCCGCCCGCCCACACTGATTCATTCATTTTTATTCTTGAGAATATGCTAGTATTTTGAAACACTTCCATAGAAGCTGGATCCATGAAAGTATCATTTTGCCAACTATGATAACATAGTGTTAGAATTTTCTTGGTGAACTTACTGATTTACTGTGTTTTGTAATCTAGTTGTTGAAGAGTCAAAGAAATTTTTTTAGGGGCTGTTGAAATGACTATCCAGGTTTATCCAGGCAAGTAGTGTTCCTCTGTAAAACTCTCATTT
Organism: Homo sapiens; assembly: GCF_000001405.40. Classification (NCBI taxonomy): domain Eukaryota; kingdom Metazoa; phylum Chordata; class Mammalia; order Primates; family Hominidae; genus Homo; species Homo sapiens. Next base: position 101,489,699 of record NC_000006.12, read on the forward strand.
TCTAAGTATGTGGTATGATTTTAAGGACTCCAGATAAGCTGAAATATCCAGCAATACTTCTCTGACAAGCATTGTGGATTATGAAATCCCAGCATTAGACAACATATTTTCTAAGGTTAGGCAAATATTTTCTTAGCAGCCTGAAATAAAATAAAGGTACTATATAGATGTATATTTTATCAAGTTTGAAAATATGACATTCCTTGCTTCTGAAAGAGAAGCATCCAGGTCCAACATTTTAGTATAATTATCAGAGAAAGAAAAAATGTTAAAGTGCTAGTGATATTTTTAAATGACTATAGCTGTTATCTGAATATTAATAAGAATTAATCTAATTAAGAGTATGTTCAGCAATATGATAGTCTCATAAAAAGACACAGAGGATACAGCATGGTCTTTATTTACAACAATTTTTTACTCTTTACAGAAGAATGAAACATAGACATACAGAGATATGTAATAAAAATAAGCACTAAATAATTAAGTATTTAGAACTTACTACATATTATGCAACATACTGTGCTATGCTAAACAGCTTTCTTGGGCCATCTCATTTAGTTATCAACAGGGTCCTATAAGTGGGAATACTAATACCTCCAGTTTGCATATAAGAAAACAAAGATATAGAAAATTTAAGAAACTTCTCCAAAGATATGGAGCCTACATATATTAGTGAAAGAGTCAAACCCTAGGCAGTTTGCCTACCCTGTGCTCTTAACCTCTTTATGAGTCTGAACCCATGAAGGGGTATAGTGCAGGCATGAATTGCCACAGGTGTTCAAAGGAGGCAGAGGTGGTTAAGAAAGGCAGAGTAGAAGGAAAGGGACTTTAGCTTCACTCAGAAATGTGTGTACAATAGATAAGTGAAGAAGTACGTTGGGGGTGTTAATAGGAAAGTATTGTCTTGAAGAGAGGCATTAACGTAAGATAAATGTTGATAAAAGGTATCGTTGTCTTGTTGATTTTAATAGTTTTTAAATTAGGTTACTAGAAGTACTTCTCCCTATTGATATTTGGCCTGCCCTGGGTTTAACTCTTGTAACAAAGAAACCAATAGCACAACTCCAGCACAGTAGCCTTAGGAAAGTGATGACAATGACAACAACAAAACAAAATCCTCAGATTAATATAGGTATTGTACTAAGTCCTTCACATGAAATTCTTTTTGAATCTTTATTTTCATTTCTGGTAATAAGGCAAACTGGATGATGGAGGGAATAACAGACATGCATGCGTGCACATACACACACACCTTTTCCAAAACATAACTGATCTTGTGAGAAAGTAAGAAAAGTCTTCAGGGATTAGAAACGGTGAGAAAGTTGGCATTCAGACAGGTGTCTACCACTCCTTGATGACCTGTAGACATCCATGAGTCATACATGTGAAAGTCAGGAACAGATCTTGGGCCTTAGCAAGGCAAAAGTTGAATGGAATGCATCATCCATAAAGCTGTAACCTCAAGTGGCTAATATGAATGAATGAGGAAAAGAAGAAGTAAAACGCCTGTCTGTACAAACAAGAAATCAGTTTGTTTGTCATTCTAGACCTTGTTTCTGGATTAGGAGAAAAAAAGAAAAAAAAAAAAAACCCAACCAAACAAACAAAAGAAACCTCACATTCATTTGGGATTGAAATTTATACCGTCAATGTGGATGGCCTGAAAAACCTCAAGTCAGAAATATAGTTAGGTCCTCTTGGATTGAGCCCTAGAAATTTGGCCGAAGCAAACACAAACCTTCACTGGAAAAATGCCCTTTAACTTTTTCAATGTTTCTAATATGTTTTAATTATCAAAAACTCACACATATAAATATAAAAAGAATATTATAATGAATGCCTGCATACTTACCACTTAAATTCAATGAATTGTCAGCACTTTGCCAAATTTGCTTTATATTTGTCTCCCGTCTCTGTCTCTATTTTCTATCTCATTATTGAAGCATTTGAATGTAAGTTGTTGACATCATGATGGTTTACCCAAAAATATTTCAGCATTCATCTCCAAAAAGTACTTTCTTACATACTATACTATTATCTTTATCACAACTACCATAATTAATAATAATCCTTTAATATTATCTCATGCTAATCTACATTCAGATTTCCCTGGGTGATGCTAAATCATATAGTCATTGTTTTCACTAGCTGGGGTTCTATCATAGTTTGCATATATATATATGTGTGTTTGAATGTATATATGTGTGTATACATATATATATATTACATGTATGTATGTATTAGGTATAGCTTAAACTTTTTGTGCAAAAATTGTTTCTGTTATATACTTCATATTGCATCTCATCGAGAGGTACAAGAAGTTAGGATGTAGCAGTATTAGTAAGGCTAAGGTTAATCACTTAGTTAAGGTGGTAATTACTAGATTTCCTTGTAAATAAATGTACTTATTATTGCTTTTGGCATTATCAAGTTTCTATTAGGGTGATACTTTGTCTCCAGTTGAAAGTCTTATATCTAGATTACCTTTTACTTATTAGTTTAAACATCCTATAATGATACTAACTGAATCAATTATTTTATTGAGACTTCATATTCATTAGCTGATAGTTAACATTTATTAGCTGATATTAATCTGTAATCATCAATTGGGAATAAACCACAGTTCCTCCTAAAATGTAAATGCTTATTGTTTTCCCTCTAATTACCAACTTCAGAGAAAGTTATTGGCATACCAGTCATCTCTAGTAAGGACAAATGAATGAACCTCTTTCCTCAAACCCATTTCTCTCTCTCAAAAATGACTATGGACTCATTTTTTTAAAAAAAAATTCTATGAGTTATAATAAATTAATGTTATTATTCTTTTGAAGGCCACATTGTCCTAAGTTGTCTCCTGTATCTTTTTGATATGGCTTCTTTTGATCTGGAGGATTTTCTTTCTATATAGCACAAGATGTTCTGGGATAAACTTGTACTTTTCCTTCCCCAGACCTGGAATTAGACATTTCTCCAGGAAGCCATTGAGTACTATACTTTAAAGACAAATAAATTTTATATAACTTTACTGGTGACATGAGTTCACAATAAAAACAAACAAAATCACAAAATATGTGATGTAATAAGTATCACCAGAGACAGCACAGAAAACAAATTCTGGAATCAGACCTTCGCAGACTGTGACTATTACAATTATATTTAGAAAAACAAATATGTTTATCATATTCCTGAGAATAAAAGAGGATATTGGTGGTTTAGCAAAGGAACAAGAAAAAAAGACTATCAGAAATAAACCGGCAGGTTTGAAAAAGAATTAAGTAGAATTTTTGAAATAAAAATATATATAATTTTGAGGTTAAGAGCACAATAGATGACTTCAAAAGTAGATTTGACACAGCTAACAGAATTAGTGAACTTAAAGATCTAAGGAATTATCCAGAATATAATACAGACAAGAAAGAGAAGAGTTTAGATATACAAATAGAATAAGAAGACATAATATACAATTAATCAAGTTGTCCAGTGAGAATAAAGAGAAGAGAAGAGAAGCAATAGGCAAAGGAGTAACAGGGAAGATGTTTCTGGAAATATCAAAAGGCGCAAATTCTCAAATTCAGTAAATCTAACAAAAAAGAAATTCCCTAAACACATTACAATGAAACTGCACGGTATCAAGAAGTGACAAAAAAATTTTAGGAGCAACCAGATAGAAAATACAGAATGCCTACAAAGAAGCAAAATCTGACTGACAGCTAACTTCTGGATAGAAACAATGGAAGCCAGAAGTTAGTAAAATGATATCTTCAGATTTCTTAGAGACAATGACTGTTAACATAGAATCAAATAATAATCAAAATTATTTTTCAAAAACTTGGAAAATAGAAACATTCTCAGACCACAAATTTTGGGAAATATTTACTAATCAATAAATCATCACTAAATAAGCTTTTAATAAATGTAATTTAGGAGGAAAAAAGAGCCTTCAAACAAGGTCAGGAATAGAGGAGAAAGTAGAGTGAGTCTGCAGGGAAAAGCAGAAGTCCAATCAGGTAGCTTCAGCAGTTTGCAGTCTTTGCCTCTATAAAAACATTATATATTATTGGAATTTGTGTATATTTTACTTTAATTATTTTTCAGCCTACTTAGCCCCTTTTACCAAATATAAAATGGGTGGTCATCAAGCAACAACATTATTTCTCAAACCATGATAAAAACTATTTCAAAGTTTTATTTGATCAGTCTCTAAATCCTTAGGTTATTATATATATTTTATATATAATATGTATTTATATATAATATATATATTTTATATATAATTTATATATTATATAAAAATTATAAAAATGTATATATTATATATAAAAATTATATATATAATTTATTATATAAAATATATATGATATTTTTATACAAGCAATTTATAAATGTTATTTATATACACAGCAGAAACAGTTTTATTAGTATATTACATCCTAAGGCAACAATTTTAAAGGGAGTAACACTCATTTATATATGAATCTTGAATTTATAAAAATTCAGTTCATTTCAGTCACAGTACATAAATTTACCTGTCACTGTCACCTTAAGTCTTCAATAAACGTGAACTTTGAGGTCTACTACTGCTCGAACTGTTAAATGCCCATTTTGAAAAATTCTACTCAAAGACCCATTCTGAATCAGTCCAGAGTGATTGTAGGTTACAGTTTCAAATAAATTAAATTTAAAAGAGTTATAATTTTGGCTAAACTACTCAGTTATTTCTTTACTGTATTACATTACATTATTTTAAAAAACATACTTTTAAAAAGTATATTAGAACACTTGAAGTTTAAAAACTTTAACAATTATTACTTTTACTGATTATATTATTTATAAAATTAATAAGAATTAGTATTCATTGTAGACGACTTGGAATATATTATTTAGCTCAGGATAAATATTATACATCTTAATACATTTAAAAACACAATACTTCATATTATGTAATACCAGGGCCAGGCATGGTGGCTCATGCCTGTAATCCCAGCACTTTGGGAGGCCAAGGTGAGCAGATCGCCTGAGCTCGGGAGTTCGAGACCAGCCTGGGCAACATGGTGAAACCCTGTCGCTACTAAAAATACAAAAAAATTAGCTAGGTATGGTGACATGCATCTGTGGTTCCAGATACTCAGGAGACTGAGGTGGTAGGATCCTCTTGAGACTGGGAGGTGGAGGTTGTAGTGAGCTGAGATTGAGCCAATGTCTGGGAGACAGAGTGAGACTCTATCACAAATAAATAAATAAATGAAATAAAAAGTAATACCTATATATGCATTTATATATATATATATATATATATATATATGAAGGAAAATTATAATCTCTTGATTAGAGATTGTCAATATTTTGGTATATGCTGTTCAGACTTTTTCCATTATATCAATTATGTTCTCTATAGTATATAAACTATTTGCATATATTCTATATTGTGTATGTATCTATCATCTACCCACTTACCTATCTACAAATCTATTTATCTAAATTCCTAGGTATTAATTCTCTCATTTAGCCTTTAAGTTGCAGATAAAGGCCAGGCACAGTGGCTCATGCCTGTAATCCCAGCACTTTGGGAGGCCGAGGCGGGTGGATCACGAGGTTAGGAGATCGAGACCATCCTGGCTAACATGGTGAAATCCCGTCTCTACTAAAAATACAAAACAATTAGCCAGGCGTGGTGGCGGGCACCTGTAGTCCCAGCTACTCGGGAGGCTGAGGCAGGAGAATGGCGTGAACCAGGGAGGCAGAGCTGGCAGTGAGCCAAGATCTTGCCACTGCACTCTAGCCTGGGAGATAGAGCAAGACTCCGTCTCAAAATAAGTAAATAAATAAATAAATAAATAAGATGCAGATAAAATTGGATTGGTTTCCATACATTATGCAAAGTTTGTTGACTTCCCCAAGATGGTTCTTAATTCTTGGTCACATGAATTTCTGATTATCTTCTTATGACAAATATCTTAATGTGGAATTACTGAATAAATGTTATAAATGTTTTTAAGGCTTCTGATTCATGTCAAGTTATAAAGTTTGTTATCAGTTCAGACCTCAAACAGGGTATATTGGAGATGTGCATTTTACTTACCAATGTTGGGTTCCATTATACAAACACACCTTTTTTTTTTTAACATAAGATTTTTCTAACTAAATATTAAACTGATTTTATTTTCTTTCCTAAATCATATACTGACTACAAAAGCACATAAGAGGAGAAAGGAAGGATGTGTGCTGGTATTTTACATATCTGAATTTTTCTTTTCTTTTTTATTTTTAGATGGAGTCTCACTCTGTCGCCCAGTCTGGAGTGCAGTGGCGCTATGTTGGCTCACTACAACCTCTGCCTCCTGGGTTCAAACGATTCTCATGCCTCAGCTTCCCAAGTAGCTGGGATTACAGGCGCACATCACCACACCTGGCTAATTTTTTATATTTTTAGTAGAGATGGGGTTTCACCATGTTGGCCAGGCTGATCTCGAACTCCCGACCTCAGGTAATCCGCTTGTCTCAGCCTCCCAAAGTGCTGGGGTTACAGGCGTGAGCCACCATGCCTGGCCCTGGACTTTTCCTAAAGAAAAAAAATAAAATAACACTATGCCTACATGACCAAAAATTTTCAACCTGATAATAAAACATTGTTAGGAGCAGTGATGTGACATAATGGCTGTGATTTACTTTGGAAGTATGCCTGTAACTGCCATTAGTAATAATGAAAGTTAATGACATGCCTTATGGGATCAGACAATGGTCTTCAATATTTGTAACTACTTGCTGGGATAGAAACTATTCTGAACTGTCAGTGGGTGTCAGTTTGTAATTATAGATTGCACAAACACTATGCATGATATATATTTTGTCAACAATGATTAAATTGGCATTTAGAAAAATGCTTCATTTTCAGTGACCAAGATAAACACAATCTGTACCTTTTTAAAGTAATAAGGTTGGAGAGTAAGCACCCATGAAATATAACTTATAACTTTCAAACAAATCATGGACAAACATGTATTTTTGGGTTTTGTAATGTTTAAGTGATTATTTACTAACTAGAGTTCGCTTTCAAATTTTAAAAAGATCTGTAGTTATCCTGAGCTTGAAAGTCACTTATGTTTCAGACCCAAATATAACTCACTCAATTTTGCTGAAAACCTAAGGATTTAAAGGCTGATCAAATAAACCTTTGGAATAGTTTTTATCATGGTTTGAGAAATAACGTTGTTGCTTGATGACCCATGGTTTTATATTTGGTAAAAGGGGCTAAGTAGGCTGAAAAATAATTAAAGTAAAAGATATACAACTTTCAAGAGCTAAATAGATCTAATTCACCCTGTCTCCTCTAATGTTCTGCTCACTCACTCTGCTCCAGTCACTCTGGTCTTTCCAAGCATGCTAAATTCCTTTCCACACCCCAAGGTACTGTCTTTTTCATTTTCCAATAATCTGCTTCATTAAGCAAGCCAATTTAAGGACACTACCCCATCTAGTTTTTTTTTCTCCTCCCACCTTTCATTTTGCTTCCTTCATAGATTTTACCACAGCATTGGAATTCTGTACTCACCCTTCCATTTGCTTCTTCAATTTGAACCTCCTGCATTGGATGATGAACTCCATAATGTCAGGGATAATGTCTAACTTTCCAACTTTCTGTGTTTAATACGTGCCATAGTACTGGGCACATAGCATGTGCTCAATAAATATTTTGTTGATTTAATGCAATAATGAATGACCAAATGAATGAGTCAGAAATATATACAAGTGTAGATCTTTAGTTTGATCTATTCACTCTTATTGAGTTTTGTGGAAATATGACATTTTGCAGTTTTGATTGTCACATTTTAAATAAGGTGATAACATTTTTGTTCCACCAGATGGGAGGATAAAGCTGAAAAAAAATGCTGAACCTACTATACATCTTGTTATTGCTTATTGTTTTTGTTTATATACCTAACATATTAAAGTTTCATACTTAGTACTAGAGAGATATTTCTTATTTTAAAAGCATCATATGCTTACCTTCATAGGTAATTTAAAGTTAACTTTTAAGTTCTGAATTTTAAAGTGTTATGAAATTTCACTTTAAAATAAGAAATATAAATTTATGGCTAAAATGTTTTAAATAGGCTTATTGAATATTCCAAATTAATGTTAAGCATTCACTGTTTTACAACCTTATTTATTATTATTATTATTATTATACTTTAAGTTTTAGGGAACATATGCACAATGTGCAGGTTAGTTACATATGTACACATGTGCCATGCTGGTGTGCTGCACCCATTAACTCATCATTTAGCATTAGGTATATCTCCTAATACTATCCCTCCCCCCTCCCCCCACCCCACAACAGTCCCCAGAGTGTGATGTTCCCCTTCCTGTGCCCATGTGTTCTCATTGTTCAATTTCCACCTATGAGTGAGAACATGTGGTGTTTGGTTTTTTGTCCTTGTGATAGTTTACTGAGAATGATGATTTCCAATTTCATCCATGTCCCTACAAAGGACATGAACTCATCATTTTTTATGGCTGCATAGTATTCCATGGTGTATATGTGCCACATTTTCTTAATCCAGTCTATCATTGTTGGACATTTGGGTTGGTTCCAAGTCTTTGCTCTTGTGAATAGTGACGCAATAAACATACGTGTGCATGTGTCTTTATAGCAGCATGATTTATAGTCCTTTGGGTATATTCCCAGTAATGAGATGGCTGGGTCAAATGGTATTTCTAGTTCTAGGTCCCTGAGGAATCGCCACACTGACTTCCACAATGGTTGAACTAGTTTACAGTCCCACCAACAGTGTAAAAGTGTTCCTATTTCTCCACATCCTCTCCAGCACCTGTTGTTTCCTGACTTTTGAATGCTTGCCATTCTAACTGGTGTGAGATGGTATCTCATTGTGGTTTTGATTTGCATTTCTCTGATGGCCAGTGATGATGAGCATTTTTTCATGTGTCTTTTGGCTGCATAAATGTCTTCTTTTGAGAAGTGTCTGTTCATATCCTTTGCCCACTTTTTGATGGGGTTGTTTGTTTTTTTCTTGTAAATTTGTTTGAGTTCATTGTAGATTCTGGATATTAGCCCTTTATCAGATGAGTAGATTGCAAAAATTGTCTCCCATTTTGTAGGTTGCCTGTTCACTCTGATGGTAGTTTCTTTTGCTGTGCAGAAGCTCTTTAGTTTAATTAGATCTCATTTGTCAATTTTGGCTTTTGTTGCCATTGCTTTTGGTGTTTTAGACCTGAAGTCCTTGCCCATGCCTATGTCCTGAATGGTAATGCCTAGGTTTTCTTCTAGGGTTTTTATGGTTTTAGGTCTAATGTTTCAAGCAATGGGGAAAGGATTCCCTATTTAATAAATGGTGCTGGGAAAACTGGCTAGCCATATGTAGAAAGCTGAAACTGGATCCCTTCCTTACACCTTATACAAAAATTAATTCAAGATGGATTAAAGACTTAAACGTTAGACAACCTTATTTTTTATTAATACTGTTATAAATACTGTAAGATAGGTGTGTTCACAAAAGACTTTGATATGTGATGATGAAGTCTGATTTAGGAAAAGTTGATAATATTTAAAATAGCATTGCTATTTTCTTACGCTTACCGAATAAAAATGCTTTGGTGAATCTAAAATATGCTATTGAAAGAAAAAGTACTCTTTTCTCCAGGGAACTTTATATTTTTTTATTGATATGTTAGTACATTTTATAGCTGTCATAACATAAGGCTTTATTTGTTTTAGAACATTGAATTACTTCTGCAGCAAATAAAGCTTAGGACTATATTGGTTTATAAAAGTGGCAATGATATTTAAGTACTTTTTAATGTGCTTTGATTTTATGATTCTTAAATTTCCTACCTTATCTTTTTATTTTATCCTATTTTGTTTCCTTTTGGAGAAAGTTAAGTTTCCAGAAATCATTGCTAATTTGTAATAGTTAACATTTAACTTTTTTTCTGATTTCTGCCATTAAATTTGTTGTTTTCAAATTGGAGTATATTATTTGTGTTAGATTTAAGTCATAGTATATACTATGCCTAATATAGTATAACTTATATACTATGTTAGGTTTATTAGCTTAGTGTAAGCATATACGCGTTGTAAGATCCATTAGGGTGGGGACCATGCTGGAAAGCTTACAACAGTGCTTGGCAATCAGTTGGTTTCCAGTGAATATTTGTTTACTTTCTTAATCAGTTAATGGGTGATAGGGCAAAAGTGAACTGATATTTTAAGCAGCAGAAAGGGCCAGATTGGCTATCCTTGTTTTTTTATGATATTATAGGTGTCATTTATGTTATAGGTAGTATAACATTTATATAATGTGTACTTTCTGGCTCTTGGATTTGCTGTAATTTTAACATCACATATGGATATAAGAACTTGAAACACTGTAAAGTGAAATGCTTTGACACAGGAGTTAATTTACATAATGGTAAATTCTGGATTAAAGGCCTTAAAGTAAGTTCTATCTTATATCAAAATGTCAGTATTGATTATGTATACATAGAAAGGTTGTGTTTTTTTCCCAAAGAAAACCAATTGTTGTGGTTAAATTTTTAAAAACCAAATGAGTTTAGGGATTCAAGATTCTCAGCTAAGTATAGGTCTATAATCATAATGATAAGTTAGAATTTATGATTCACAGATATGTGGGATTTATGTGAATAAGATATTTTTTTAAATATTGCTGAGACTTAGAGTAATCTATAGGTTTTCTAGATAACTATGCTGTTCTTTTATAGAACTAAATTTAATGGAGCAGAGAGTTAACTAACTTTTAAGTTAACGTGACTTTGCAGATAACTACTTTTGGTGAATGATTTTCAACATGATCATGATGAATTTTAATATACTCAAAGTTTTCGGTCTCTAATTATTAATAAACTTAAAATAGGTCAACTAGAGCTTAGAAGAAAAAGCGTGAACTTGTTTTTTCTTGGTAGTACCCTTGTCTTCTATAATTGACGGAAGGAAAGTACATACTATAAAAGCAACTATATAAGACTAAAATTATTGTTTGGAAATTATTATCCTTCAAAGACTTGTATTTATGTTTATTGACTTCATGTTATTAATATTTCACAACCAGGGTTTAGATTCCAACTCAGCTCTATGACCTGATCAGATTGAATATATTTGTAAATTCAGTTTACCAATATTTACCTTGCAAGGTTTTAGTATAAATGAATATAAGTTATTCCAAATGTTTAGTTCACTGACTGTGCTTGATGCTATTTATTATTATAATTAGTCTTATTAATATTAACAGTACTTCAAAAATTCTGATAACTTTCTTCAAATTGTTCTTTTCTCAAAAATGGGGATTACCACATATCTTGAGATAATTATAATGCTGAATTACTTTTGAATATTAATGACAGTGATTTTTTTCTCAGCTTGAGAACCAAATCCCTTGACAAGCATATAAGAACCATCTACAACAAAATAAGTATCTGAGGAAACCTGTCAGCTACTTCAATCTGTATTTCAGCATTAATGTGTGATTCTATGCAAACAAATTTGGGAGAGGATTTTAAAAATTCCACTAAATAGGGAGAACTTTTCTAAACATCTCATTTTAGACAATTTTCAAAACTACCAAGGGATCTTGAGGACTGAAACCAGTTTCATTTTTCTATACTATGTTATTAATAAAAATTCAAAGATCAGTTAATATAATGCATATTGTATGAACTTTGAAATCATTATAGTAAACATTTTTTTGTCAAATTACTTATACCAGTTATCTTGCTTGTGACTGCAGATTGCATAATTGCTGCACAGATACTTAAATGGCAACATATGTCACATTTATCCACTCAATGGCCACACTTCATTGTGTATAGATGTATTCTGATGGGCTTTACATTCAAATTGACAAGTGAGGCAATTACCAGTCAACATGTCCTACAGGTTCTGCATCTGGCTTATCCATTTGTACTTTTTTGTTTTGTTTTAAAGTAACAGGATCTGTAGAAAGAACTATAGTAACCTGATTTGAAACCTGGCTCTAATGCTGATTAGCTATGTGACCATGGGAAAGTTCCTTAGCATGTTTTTGTTTTGTTTTGTTTTGTTTTCCAAGACAGGGTCTCACTTTATCACTTAGGCTGGAGTGCCCTGGCTTGATCTCTGCTCACTGCAACCTCCGTCTCCTGGGTTCAAGCGATCCTCCCACCTCAGCCTCCTGAGTAGCTGGGACTACAGATGTGTGCCACCATGCCCTGCTAATTTTGTGTTTTTAGTAGAGATGAGGTTTCAGAATATTGGTTTCACCTCAAGTGATCTGCTCACCTTGGCCTCCCAAAGTGCTGGGATTACAGGCAAGAGCCACTGTGCTGGCCAGTTCCTTAGCATCTTTGAATTTTAGTTTTCTCATCTGTAATATTGTGATAATAACTGATACAATAAGGAAATATTACACGCTTGTAATTTTGCAAAATTAATGAAATTGATATAGGGAAGCAGGTACTCTCCTACACTGTTGGTAAAAATATTCATTATTAAAACATATCTATGAAGCAATTTGGTACCACCTAATACATATTGAAAGGTACATTCCCATTGAGTCAGCAATATCATTTCTGGGAACATATGCTACAGAAATGCATTGGTACAAAAAGATATATATATACACACATACACAAAGATGTTCATTTGAGCATTATTTATAATAGTTAACTTTAGACACATTTAAATATCCATCATTAGCGAGAAGTTAAATGAATCTTGGTGTATGTAGTCATGCAATGTGAATGTGAATGCACTGAAATAAAAAGATTTCCGAGACATAGAAAATAAAAAATGAAAATAAATGATTTAGACAAGATATTGAAAGTATTACATTATGTAAAAGTATAAGAATATATATGTAATTGCATTATATATTCATTAATGCATTTTATAATTCCTGTGTGTTATCATAATTACTTTGAAGAACAGTAAAGTGATACTCAATTATTAAAAGTGATTCCTTTTGGGAAGAGATTGATAGGATATCTAGCTGTCAGGTATTGGTGAATGGGTTCCAATTCAGTGTGCGAATTGAAACACTAAAGACCAAATAAACAATTACAGTTTTTCAATGGCAAAAAACTTACTTTCTACTATTATTAATCCCCTTGCCATCATTCTAGTTCAGGGTTTTCATTATCTCACTCAAAGTGGAAGATTGCAGGATACTCTAGAGTATAAATAAATTCTATGGAGGACTTCAGGACTTTTTCAAGCTGCATTTGCCATCTCCCTCCCCAGCTCCTATTCTCATTCTCTTCCCCGACACAGGATGGCTGCTCTATTGAGGAATAACAGATGGAGGTGGGGGTTATGTGCTGTAGGTGATGAGAAGCAAGGAGTTAACCAAATAGGGGAAAACCAGGAGACTACTGTGGCATTATTGGTGCCTGGGAAAGACAAAGTTTAAGAAGAAAGGGAGTGGTCAGTCATGTCAAACTCTGCAGAGAAGTCAAATACCTTAAGTGTTTTTTTTGTTTTGTTTTTAATGAGCATTTGTTTTGTTTAGCATAGAGATAAATACTTACTGATCTTGCTGATAACAGTTACAATGGAGTTGTGAGGAAAAGGTATAAATAAATTGATGAGCAGGAGGTGAGAGCACAGATAGTGTAGACTACTCCTTTTCAAGACATTTGGCTATGAATAGAAAGGAGGAAGAAGGGGGGAAAGAGGCACTGTCCTACAATTTGTTGCATCTTATTGATTTTTAAAGACAATTTTAAATAATATGTCATCCTATCCAAAGTCATCATTTTTGGTAGACATCCCAGCTTCAAGTGATTAACCGAAAAAAGCAAATCAATTCCATTCCTTAGGCATACATTTTATATTTAGTTTTTCCTGACAGGCTTCCAAAAAAGCTATGTTGCTCTAGTTTTGACATTCTTCTGGATGTTTTGCTGAGATTTATGATGGTCAAAAGGGGTAACTTTGTAAATTTTGCAGTTTACATTTATTACATTCATGATTTATGTAAATTTTAGAGTGTTTCTGTCTTCTCTTTCTATGGCTTGAACAAAATTCCTCATGTTCTTTTAACACTTTTCCCTGTTTCTTAATTAGTAATAAGTTTGACCTTGCTTAGGACCTTTTTGCCAACCAAACTCTATGCCTTCTTCCATGCTAGAACACTAGGATAGATTGTAGAAGCAAACAAGATGGTGCAGCAGGAGGTTGTGGGAAGACAAGGTAGGCTTATCTAGAAATACTATGTAGAGACTATCTGGAAGGTTCAAACTATGGAGAAAGTGACTTGTAGCATCATTGTTTAATTCAGAGACTTATCCTATAATTTATACAAAATCGACAACCAGATATTTCTAAATACTACATTTATTTTATAGATGAGTAAACTAACACTACATATCAATATAATATGTATAAAGTGGAAAATGGGTCATATTCTAAATTGCATATTTATCTTTGGTCCTACTTAAGTTATTGCACTGATCCATGAAACAACTGAAATATTGCACTGTGTTTAGCATACTTTCCTGAGACATACACAACACATATTTAAAATCGTATGTTTAAACAGGGATACTAAGTCTGGCATAAATTATTACACTCAAGTATCAGGATATGAATCATGTTGCCAGGTTGGTGAACTACATTTCTATATTTTTTTCTGATTTATTATATGACTATAGCAAAATTTGCCACAATAGGAAAGTCAGAAAAATGCATTATATCATAATTTAGATTTTAACACCATAGGATTTTTTGGTAATTTTTTTCAGATTGTATTTTTTAATCTGAAATACCTTTTAAACTGAAAAGAAAATTTCCTATTCAATGTTTGTCATGTATTTAAGAAAAAGAACAACAATATAAATTATACTAGGGTGGCTACTATATATAAAATATGTAATACATTATATATATTACATATATAGAGAGATATAAACTGAATCAGTAGTTGACACACTGGATTTAGTAATGGAACCTTTAGTTAAACATATTACATAAAATACTCTGTTTATTATATGTTGCCTTCATTAACAAAGCCTTTGTGGAGGTTATGAGATAACATATAAAAAAATAAGGTAACTTTTTTTCTCTAGCAAGAAGTTGCCCAGAATTTATGTAGCCTAGGATCCTCCTGGTGTAAACTGTGCATTTCATACATACCATCAGAAATATGTATGAAAATGATGTGTCCCTAGACACAATCCTGGTGAGTTGCAGAGAGGAATAAGAAGTGATTATTTTTTGTAAGTCAGATATAAAACTTGTTGTTAAGTCAGTACTTTTTGAAATAGGTAGACTAAGCATCATTTTATATTTGTTTTCAGGGAACAAGTTCATTTGATAAAGTGCATTTGAGCTACTTGTCATTAAGTTTTTTTTGTTTTTTTTTTTGTCGTTTTTTTACTTGTCATTAAGTTTAAAAATTACTATGTTTAGTATTTGGTCAATTTGATATCTTAAATTGTTGAGGATTGCATTTTTTAAATCACTCACATTGTTCAATTATCATACATTTCTGTTTCATTTTCTTTACCAGTTTTCAGTTATTCTGCTTTCATGTCTTCTAGTACCTGGCACGTTTTGTGCCAAGAGAAATTCGTTTGTTGCTGCCTTTGAAAATGTTGCTCAAACTTATGTCAGTTGCAAATGACTTGCCGAAGCTTTCCTCAGTTAAGCAGCTGGCAGTCTAATATTTTCTTAGGGAAGCCTGAAGAGTGTTTTCACATATTGACTCAGCTTGCCAACTCTTTCTCCTTCAATGTTTCAGGTGTCAGTGGCTCCTGTAGTTATTAGCAATGGCACTAAACTAAAAATATGATTGGTCCTATTATACCAGACATGGAAAACTGAAATAACGAGCCAGAGCAATACTATCCATAATTGCATAGACATTTCCTTACTGAATACACACTAGTTCTCTCAAATTATTGGTCTAGTTTGACAAAGTCCCAAAGGTGTAAGTAGCTAATGTACCCAGTTAAAGTGAAGAGAAATTGGGGACGAGAGAATGATTGTCAAAACACTTCTCTGATAGAACCTTGAAGAATATAAGACTTAGAGTCACTTGTATAGACAGAAACTGCTTGAAGAAATTAGAAAAAAAAAAAAAAAACTAGAAATCAGAAGACATTTTGTTTTTCATCTGAAAAATGGAGCAAAAGTAGTGGCGATCTCTAATCATTCCCATAAGAAACGTTTTTTTAAAAAGCTAAATACATTAAAAGTCAATCTTAAAACATGCAAAAAGGCTTTAAATTTGGATCGAATATATTGTTAATAGGCATAGATTAACAAATTGCAAGTAAGTAATCAAAAT
Source organism: Homo sapiens (assembly GCF_000001405.40). Classification (NCBI taxonomy): domain Eukaryota; kingdom Metazoa; phylum Chordata; class Mammalia; order Primates; family Hominidae; genus Homo; species Homo sapiens. The sequence continues at coordinate 101,505,997 of NC_000006.12, forward strand.
ATAAATCTTTTTGAGTACTCATTATGAGCTGACATTGTTATACGTACTTTGAAATAAATTAACCAATTTAATCCTTGCTTTCATTCAATGAAATATGTAGAATAATTATTCTCATTTTACAGATGAGGTCTAAGCTCATTTGCAAAGCTGGGGTCTAAGCCCAGGGAGTCTGGCTTTAACATCCACTAGCTGAACTCCTTCACTGGCTGCTCTTAAGTTAAAAACACTGTTCATGTGTTTTAGGACTAGGTTCAACTAGTGGGACTTTTTTTCTTCCAAGTAAAAGAAGTTGGACTAAATATTTTCTTTTTGAAAAATCTTAATCTCATATTAAAATTCAAAAATCCATATCCTCCTCATTGCCTTAATCCTTTAATATAATATTGAACCCTATAGAATATTTGTTCTTGCCTAAATGGTGCCAAACATATTTAATTTAAATGGTTTTTAAAATGGTAAAAGTATGGATATTTCTAAATATATGATTTCAGGACAGAATTTTTAAACTTCTACTCATGGATTTGACTTTATGTATAGCAGATGAATATACGTGTTGTCCATGATCAGAGTTCCATGAAAATGAAATTAAAATGGTCACTTATAGGTGTTTTTACTTTCATTTCTTAACTGCGTAGACTAATGACATATACATCAGTCGAACTTTGCTTTCTAATTTTAAAGGCAGATGTTAATACTGTTAGCTCATGAAGTATTTTAAATAATAGTTTTATGTATTCAGCTATGCATAAACCTATATGCATATTTTGTGGGATCTGTGAATTGGGTAAAGATTTGAGGGAAAGTTTGCAGAAATGAGTATGATACAAAGTGAATTTTAGGGTTTTATATCAACTTAACCATTGTGCAAATTTGAGTTTTATCTAAATCAAGCTAGAATGATTCACTGAAAACTCTGTTTTTAGTATCATTAAAGCAATGTTCACTTGCGTTATTCAGACCACTCTCTGGAGAAAGTAGAAAGGAGAGCCTATGACATCCCATGAAGTTTGGAGGCAGTTAAGACCACTATGTTTACCTGAACTCTTTCCTATGTTTAATTAAACATAGAGTCAGATGTTTCCTTTTCCATGGACTTTGGAAAAATTTATAACTGATTTGACTATTTTAGGAATCTTGAAATCATACACTCCTCATAGAACCTCCTTCAGAAAATTACATATATCATTGCTATTAGTTTGGAAAATCTGTTAGTTAAAAATGTTTTTATATTAACCAAAAATATAGCTACTTTAATTTAGAGCACTTGATTTTAATAGATGTGCTAATCAATGGAGCAGAAGAGTTAACTGAGTTCAGAGACATAGTTTGGGTATTGCCTTAGAGATATATCTATTTGTTGTATGTATGCTTAAAAATACCCATGATATTATTTTATTCATACATTAGAAATATTTCCTACTATCGATTTTTCTCAGAATTTTTCTACAGGGATTCAGGCTACGTTTCTTTTGAAATGTCAATGATTGAGAACTTAGGTTTAAAAAAAATTACCTAAATCTTTAAAGTTAAAAAAGATGAACATATAGTTTATTCATACAATGAAACATTATTTGGTGGACATACATTTGAATAGATTGTAGCTAAAATAAAGATGAATTACAGGATTATAACATGGAGAGAAAAATGCAAGTTGTAGAAGACAGCATAGAGTATGGTTCCATTTTTGTAAAGCTCAAATAGAATAAAAACTAAGCTATGTTTTATTTAGCAATATACAAATAGGTTGTAAAGCTGCTTTTAAAGAGCAGGCAAGAAGAATGGTAAACACAAAATCAGGATCATGCCCCCAGAAGGGAGGCAAGGGGCTGATGTTGGGGAGAAAGTAGGTAATGGCAATATTCTAGGATTCAAATTGGATCACAAGAGTTAGTGTTATCATTATATTTCATAGCTTACATAAACATTTATTTTGGATGCATCAAATACTATATAATAGAAAAAAGTAGAAGACAATAATTTTCTGCCTGTTTGTCATTGTATATGCTTTAAAAGAAAGTAATGAAGTAGGAAATTTAGACAATTAGATGGTTGTTATGTCTACATGAGACCAAATAATAGCCTTACTGATTATTATTATTTTTTTTTTTGGAAGGACTAAGTAATCCTGTTTTAAAGATTCATGTTTTAAGTTTCACTACTTAATTTTTATTTCAGTGACAGGACCAATTCAGACCAGGTTAAAGTTTATAAGAGAAAAATAAATATAACAAATGTTTATTGACTTCCCACACTACCTGTCAGGTAGTATATTGGGTGTTGCTAAGGTATCACAGTAAATGAGATAAGTTTCTGCTCTTTGAGACCTTTAAGTTCAGTGAAAACAAGAGGATAAATGTGTCTATTAATCCAATTAGTACAAATTCTGAAAGCACAAAATGTTAAATAAATTAAGGACGTTCCTGAGACTAAGTCATCCCTCAATATTATTAGAAAATGTGATAAAGCAAAGCTTAATATAACAGATTATATAGAAAATATTGATTTTTTTGTTAATTTTGTCTAATTTCTCTTTGCTTTATTTCATAAGCTTATATATTATCCTACCCTTAGGAGTTTTCTTGTCAAGATACTAAGATGTTAAGGCAAATGCATCAATTCCATGAAGTAACTGTTACATAGCTTATTACAGAGAAATCTTTATGCTTATGCAGAGATCCTTGGCCTGGATAACATTATAATTATTTTTATTTAATCCTTCTCCTTCCTAGGAAATCAGTTTGATATGTTGAAAAGAGTGTCATATTTTAGAGAAACTTTGAATTCCATTTCTGATATGTTTCATTCCATCTTTAGGACTTTAGGTAAATTAGTTAACTTTGCCAAGTGTGAATTTTCCATCTATAAAATGGTGTTGTAGGCTGGGCGTGGTGGCTCACGCCTGTAATCTCAGCACTTCGGGAGGCCGAGGTGGGTGGATCATGAGGGCAGGAGATCGAGACCATCCTGGCTAACACGGTGAAACCCCGTCTCTACTAAGAAAATACAAAAAAATAAGCTGGGCATGGGGGCGGGCACCTGTAGTCACAGCTACTCGGGAGGCTGAGTCAGGAGAATGGCGTCAACCAGGGAGGCGGAGCTTGCAGTGAGCCGAGATCATGCCACTGCACTCCAGTCTGGGTGACAGAGCGAGACTCTGTCTCAAAAAAAAAAAAAAAAAAAATGGAGCTAATAATATTGTCCAGATAGAGCTGTGAGGATTAAATTTTATAATGTACACAGACACCTTACCAACTTGACCACAGTGGTTATTATGTGTCTAAATCCAGGATAGTGCTAAGTAGGATTTAAGGCCACTTAAAGATAAGGCCTTCAGTGTATGCAAATTGGATTTGTTTTACTGAGCGATTAATTTCCTAGTCCTAGAACATTGTGTGTGCTGAGTTACTGAATTTTTAAATGAATTAACTATTAAAACCTGAAGGTCGAAAGTGTTTCAAGACAGCTCTCCAATTCAACTCATAGAAAATATCTTTTGAAACAAAATGTGCTGCCATCTTCTTATCCTGAATTGAAAGCTTAGGAAGAAATTGTGGAGACACTCAGAAGTCTGCCTTGTTTCTCTAGTCTGGGATGGAATTTCTGCCTGGAAATTTTCCAGGTAGAAGATGAAGAATCTGGAAAATTTTCCATATGTGTCTGAGTTAGATATTAATGTTGGCTTTGTTATTTAGTTCAGAGTCTTGCTTGTAAATTCCAAAACATCAAGGGTATTCATAATCAAATAGAAAGCAACACATGGATTCCAAATGATATTTGGATTATTCACAAATTGGTATTTTCTGCTCTCTTACTTTGCTTTCTTAGTATGAATCATGGGAGTTGACTGTAGAAATGTCACTATTGTATGCAGAACACATTTCAGTCTCTTCCTCTCATCTATTCTGTTCAAAATTTTTCAAAAAAGAACCAAATATTCATAAAGTATTTTAAATTTATGTAGTTTGATTTTTTGCTACTTGTTTAAGAAATAAATGTGAATTTCTGTGAAATATGCATTTATTTAATTAACTGGCTAAATTTTTCTGTCATTTAAAGTATACTTCTAAATTTTTTTAAATTCCACTTAAAATAAGATTTCAATTTTTAAAGAGATATAGGTAAACATTTCAATGACATTAAAGTGCTTATTTCTTAAGCAAAGGATTGGAATGTTTTGGTTCTATTGGGCAAACATGTCCATAAAAAGTGGCTTTTGTTTTTGGTAGGAGAGTGAGGGCTTCCACAGGTTTACAGAAGAAGTGTTGTCAAGGGTTCAGCTATGGAAAGAGATGGGAGGCTTATCATGCAAGGATGCACTAGAGTGGGTATGATGGCGATTTTCTCAGGCTTCTGGTGGTCATGGTTGAAATGTTGCTGTAGCACTTCCAATCCCATCATCTTAAGGTTTTCTGAAACTGCCTTTGTTCCCACATTCTCAGCAAAAGTGTAATTGTGTTGTATTGGCTCACAATCATTTTGTTTGGCTATGTCAGATCATGATCCCAGTTGGGGAGTTTTTTTTTTTTTTTTTTTTTTTTTTTTTTGAGATTGAGTCTCACACTGTAGGCTGGGCTGGAGTGCAGTGGCATGATCTCGGCTCAATGCAACCTCTTCCTCCTGGGTTCAAGTGATTCTCCTGCCTCAGCCTCCCGAGTAGCTGGGATTACAGGCACCTGCCACCATGCCCAGCTAATTTTTTGTACTTTTAGTAGAGACGGGGATTCACCATGTTGGCCAGGCTGGTCTTGAACTCCTGGCCTCCTGATTCACCTGCCTCAGCCTCCCAAAGTGCTGGGATTACAGGCATGAGCCACCATGTCTGGCCAGGAGGAGATCTTTAAACAAAAAAATAGGGCTGCTATTACTAAAAAAAAGGATAGTGGATACCAGGCAGGCAATAAATAATATCCAATAGACTACGATATATAAAAAAGAACAAAATGATCGGCCAAAAGATGAGATGTTATGCTTTTTTATAACACAAAGCATGGGGAGACTTTATCAAATCACATGTTGCATTAAGTGGTAACATTACAGGAAACTTGTAGGACTTTTTACAAACATCCAGTTATCTGGGCTTTAGGGAAGTTGCTCTAGCACCAGGTAAATATCTTTTGGAACTGGGAATTCTGATGTTAAGTAGCTTACAACAAAATAAATACTTTAGGAATTTATCCTTGGAAATTCTCTATCCCAATAACAAATCATTACACTTTAATTTGACCATAGATCTCATCCATGTATGCAGTTTAATTGGAAAGTACTGGATAAGATTTACATGACTCGGCTTCTTGACATTTAACTACCAAGTTTCTTGGTCTTGGCTTCCTTGTTCCTTAAGTGAGGCTGTCAGTGAAGATCTTTAAGATGCCTTACAGTTCTGTAAAATATTATAATTAGATTGCTCTGAGTGGCACAAATAAAATTAAGGTTTAGCACAGTAAAATCTGTTATAGAGAGAGGTGAAGTTTATTTAATCTTTATTTAAAATGTATGTATACATCTCATATAACTCAATATATTAAGCATTTTGGACACCCAAATGTATAAAATATATGAATAATAAATTTATATTATTAGAAAAACAAATATAAAAAGATTATTGTCTTAACATTTCTTTGTAAGGAAATAACGAAACTCAAATAGAAAATGGTAGTTTTATCGCTTCTCAGCCTATTGGCTAAGATCAAGTGAAAATGGTAGTTCTGATTTCTAAGATCATTTTAAATTATAGTTATATGATAAAACAACATTCAAGATAATTTAGATAATCATATATGATTTGTTTTTATGTTGGTTAAAATGATTAGCTTGGAAAATGGTTCAGATTAGTGTGGAATTTTTTATGAACTCACCTATGATCAATGACTGAATTTGAATTGAGTTTATAGAACAATTATTGGTATTTTCAACTAAGTATTGTTGTACAGTAAAGCAGAGCTAGTGAGATACCCAATGGAAACAGCATCTAAAAAGTTGGTCTCCAGAAGTATCATTTATACAAATATTCTTCTAAAAGCTTTATCACTGAATACCTCTATTTGTAAAAAAAGATACATACATATATATATATATATATACACACATACATGAATACTTAAAATATCTTTAAGGATACTGCCATTATATTCATTTATTAATTATATACCTGTTCTATATTATATGCATTATAAAATATGTAAGGTATAAAATTAAAAGAATAAGATAAAGATTAAATAATAAACTTAGTTTCATTCATGGTATGTTTATATGGTATGGTATATGTATATACAGTATGGTATTTTTGTTTTGGCTAAAACAGAAATAGGTAATGCAATTGAGTATGAACCATTATTTTTTAAAAATTTGTTAAACATTTTGAATTGTAGAAGATCTGATTCTATAGTTTGATTTATTGATTTTAATGGCTGTATGACTGAAAAATGCTTCCTCACAAAAATATATAGATCTAAGTGGAAAATAAATTGTTGGCTAAAAATTATGCCAACATTTTTAATGAAATTCAACTGATGCATTTCCATCTCACTTGAAGTTAATCAGTTATTCTTGTAAAGTAGCCACATGATGCTAAACTTAAACATTTCTGGCAAATGTGTTCAAAATGCTGTCAAATATGTCAATAATTAAAATATTTCTAAACATCCACTTTTACGACATTCTCTTCATAGTATTAACTTTTTTTCAATCAACAACTTTTTTTTTCTTTTTGCCATAAAATAATCAGCAAAGCTCTGTGTGGCATAAATGGCGTTTATGATCACCTACATCTCAATACTAAGTATTATAAAGAATCATTATATTTTAAATGTCGTTTTCAAGAAATTCACTCCTTTAATAACATTGTCACACTTAAGAAAATTTCTAGCTTCAAGTTTTGTCACAATATCTTTCCTATGATTACTGTAAATAATGATTTTCATGTGTGTAGTACTACTACTATTTTCTTGCTTTGCTGTTTTTTTCTTGTCTGACACCCTCTCACTTGTTACAGTCTTTCCATTAAATATTATTATTTTATTTTTATTTTAATATTTCAAGAGATTTATTCTAAGCCAAATATGAGTGACCATGGCCCATGACGCAGCCTCCAGGAAGTCTTGAGAACATGTACCCAAAGTGGTTGGGGTGCAGCTTGGTTTTATACACTTCAGAGAGGCATGAGACATCAATCAAATACATTTAAGAAATACATTGGTTTGGTCCAGAAAGGCGGAACAACTCAAAGGGGTGTGAGAGGTTCCAGGCTATGGTGAATTTAAATATTTTCTGTTTGACAATTGGTTGAGTTTTTCTAAAGACCCAGGATTGATAAAAAGGTAATGTTCAGCTTAAAAATAAAGATTGTGCAGCACAAAGTTCTTTTGAAGTCTTATAGTGGCTGTCCTTAGAGACAATAGGATGACAGATGTTTCCTGTTTAGATTTTAGGTAATCTCTTTAGGATTGGGAGTGTCTGGAAGAAAAAGATCTAGCTATGTTAATACAGATTCTTCATAGATGCAAATTTTTCCCCACAAAGAACAGCTTTGCAGGGGCATTTCAAAATATGGCTAAGAAGCATGTTTTTGAGTAAAATATTTTGATGTTCTTCTTTATCTTGTAATATTATGCCAGAGTCAGGTTGGAAAGTAAATAATGATATATAGGGTTAAATAAAACCCAACCTGTCTGATGCGAATTTGTGATTTGTAGGCCATGACTCCCCAGACACCTTAGATAGGAGTAAGTCCTTACCAGAATTTGTGAGATATGATTAAAGTAGTGCTGTGAGAGAAATGTTTATCCTTAATAACTTATATTAGCAATAAAACTATGATCATTGGTCAGATAAGTATTTATCTTAAAACATTATATTAATTGAACAGGAGAGTAAATCCAATGAATTAAAAAGGAAGAGATAATACAAATGAAAGTGAAAGTTAGTACAATAGGGAAAAAATGATAAGGTAGAGATCAACAAATCAAAAAATTTGTTCTTTGGAAACAAATCAACAAAATAGACAAATTGCTTGCAAGACCGATCAAGAGAAGAAAAGAGATCACAGAAATAAACAATTTTATGAATGAAAAGTTGAGCACAGCCCTAAGTAGAGATTACAAGATAACCAAAGGTAATTATAAGATGCATAGGTAGTTCAATTGGGGAAGGATAATCTTTTCAACAAATAGTGCTGAAACAACTGAATATCTGTATTTTTTAAAAAGAAAACTTTGATTCTTATATCATACCCTGCATAAAAATTAACTCCAGATGAATCATAGACACAAGTGATATGGCTCCAACGATTGGAGGAACACCAGGGTTCTTGGTCCTCATGCCAGTTTAGATAAAACGACACGGACACACATGGAGTGGTTTTAAGGAGCAGATAGTTTAATAGCCAAGAAGGAAGAAGAAAGCAGAAGGAAGAGGCTCCCCCATATGGAGACAGGGAAGGGAGAGGGGGATCCAGAGCCGAAAGAGGAGGTCCCCCTTAAATATTATTTTTTAAAGAACTCATTTAATGTTAAACTTATAATTTCTCTAATATAGTTTTCCTTTTAGGGTTAATAGTAAAAAGCAAAATATCATATATTTCCTTATTTAAAAATTGAATATCCCAATCTAAACTATATAGAAACACTGGTGTTTTGAGCTAGCTGTGTAGCAATTCTACCATTTATGAAAGAGTGAAAGTGGAATAGAACAAGATCATAATGTTAAATTACCCCTTCAACAAAGATATGCACTGTGGAAATGTATAAAGTGATGATAACATGTCTCTTTAAGTTTTTTTGAGAATAAAGTAAGGTCGCTGTTTTATGTAGACTCATAGAAATATTGAAATTCTAAAACGACATGGTATAATTTTTGAAGAAATCTTCAGTTCCTGAAAGAGGGTAGAACAGAGGATGTTTTCTTTTTATTTTATTTTTCCAGAGGTTATTGGGGTACGGGAGGTACTTGGTTACATGAGTAAGTTTTTTATTGGTGATTTGCAAGATTTTAGTGCACCCATCACCCAAACAGTATACACTGCATCATATTTATAGTCTTTTATCCTTTGCCTCCCTCCCACTCTTCCCGCCAAGTCCCCAGAGTCCACTGTATCATTGTTATGCCTTTGCATCCTCATAGCTTAGCTTCCACATATTAGTGAGAACATACAATGTTTGGTTTTTCCTTTCCTGACTTACATCACTTAGAATAATAGTCTCCAATCTCATCCAGCTCACTGTAAATGCTGTTAATTCATTCCTTTTTATGGCTGTATAGGATTCCATCAAATATTTATACACACACACATACACACACCACAGTTTCTTTATCCACTGGCTGATTGATGGGCATTTGGGTTGGTTCCACAATTTTGCAGTTGTGAATTGTGCTGCTATAAACATGTATGTACAAGTATTTTTTAAGAATAATGATGTCTTTTCCTCTGGGTAGATACCCAGTAGTGGGATTGCTGGATTAAACAGTAGTTCTACTTTTAGTTCTTTAAGGAAGCTCCACACGGTTTTCTATAGTGGCTGTACTAGTTTACATTCCCACCAGCAGTGTAGAAGTGTTCCCTGTTTACCACATCCACGCCAACATGTACTGTTTATTGATTTTTGATTATGGCCATTCTTGCAGGAATAAGGTGGTATCCCATTGTGGCTTTAACTTACATTTCCCTGATTATTAATGATGTTGAGCATTTTTTCATATGTTTGTTGGCCATTTGTACATCTTCTTTTGAGAATTGTCTATTCATATCCTTAACCCACTTTTTGATGGGATTGTTTGTTTTTATCTTACCGATTTGTTTGAGTTTGTTGTAGATTATGGATATTAGTCCTTTATCAGAGGTACAGATTGTGAAGATTTTCTCCCACTCTGTGGGTTGTCTGTTTACTCTGCTGACTGTTCCTTTTGCCATGCAAAAGCTCTTTAGTTTAATTAGGTCCCAGCTATTTATCTTTGTTTTCACTGCATTTGCTTTTGGATTCTTGACCATGAAATCCTTGCCTAAGCCAATGTCTGCAAGGGTTTTTTCAATGTTATCTTCTAGAACTTTTATAGTTTCAAGTCTTAGGTTTAAGTCCTTAATCCATCTTGAGTTGAGATGATATAAACAAATGGAAACACATCCCATGCTCATGGAGGGATAGAATCAATATTGTGAAAATGACCATACTGCCAAAAGCAATCTACACATTCAATGCAATCCCCATCAGAATGCCACCATCATTCTTCACAGAATTAGAAAAAACAATTCTAAAATTTATATGGGACCTAAAAAGAAGCCGCATAGCCAAAGCAAGACTAAGCAAAAAGAACAAATCTGGAGACATCACACTACCAGATTTCAAACTATTCTATAAGGCCATAGTCACCAAAAGAGTGTGATACTGGTATAAAAATGGGCACATAGACCAATGGAACAGAACAGAGAACCAGAAAGAAAGCCAAGTACTTAACAGCCAACTGATCTTTGACAAAGCAAACAAAAACATAAAGTGGGGAAAGGGCACCCTTTTTAACAAATGATACTGGGATAATTGGCTAACCACATGTAGGAGAATGAAACTGGATCCTCATCTCTCACCTTATACAAAAATCAACTCAAAATATGGATTAAGGACTTAAACCTAAGACCTGAGAATGTTTTCTTAATGGTACAGTAATCCTTTACAGTTTAAATAAACTAAAAGGAAACTGCCTATAATTTATACACTGTTCATTTATATGCATGTAGCTATAATAAAATATAGACTTTCATAGATTCAGTTAGAAATTTGGCTGCCTTCCCAGCAAAAGGCAAGTATATAAAAACTGAATATCCTCATCTGTTTAACAAGTTGGCCTTGTCAACCCTTAATATATATATATGTTCAGTGATAACACATCTTTTTACTATGTTGGAAAAATTCATATGCTGAAACACAGTCTATGTTTTGACACTGATAATTAACAGTATGTATTTTTGTATTCCCAGCTAGACTTCTTTCATGGAGCAAATTGGGCAAATTCTCAGGTCACTACATAGGCAATAGTCTATTGCCTTATTTTCTGGATATGTTTTCTGTTCTCTGCTCTAATTGAATACATTAAATTAAGGTACTTATCTTCATCACTTTTAATTTTTTATTTAACAAATCTTCATATTTAATAGGAAACATTATAATGCTAAATGGCAGACTTTGTGGGAGGGCATAAAAATGTGAAGGACAGCCAGCATGTTGTAGAGGAAGAAAAAAGACAGGCTTAAAACCAGGCCACCTCTGAACCTGAAACCCAGACTTGTCACTTACTTGCTGTAAAACTTTAAGAAAGTCACTTATCTTGCATAAGTCTCTGTTTTCACACTGAGAAAGGAGGTTAAGTGTTAAGCGAATTATATTGTTTGAAATGGGGTGCTCCTGCACCCTTTGATAGCTCAGCTGGTAGAGCGAAGGACCGTAGACTATAGAGACATCTGTGAAATGCGGTGGTCCTCACAGTAGACGATCAAGAATTTTTACCTGTATCTTACAGAAGAAGAACATTTGAGATAATTAATTTTTTTTTAGCTTTTACTAAAATAATAAATATAGTATTTATCTTGTGTAGGAAATTTAAGCATTGCACAAAAGGTCCCCAACTAGAGATATACTGTACTTTAAAACAAGCAGCATAATGTGCTTCCATCAGGCAATAGACAAGTAGGCAAAAACATATTTGACTTTTAGGCCTCTGCTTTGATTACTGAAAATGTGTTGCCTTCTAAGCAGATATTTAGTAATATTTGTTTCTTCTACAGTGGTGTGCAACAACAGTTGTGATTTGACTCATTGCCTTTCAGTTCCTCAAGCAATATTTGGCTATGTAATAAAGAAGCTTATTAGGCTAACGGTATTTTAAAAGATGTTTAGGGAAAGAGTCAATGTTGGTCTTGGTAGTCATAGCACATACTAACCCTATGGTCTTTTACAGCTCTCATACTTATGAATTGAATTGACTCCTTGGTGTCTGTTAACCACCATACCATTATGTGAATAATTTCATTGCAGCCTTTCCAACTTAAAGCTAATCTTTTTTAAACATGAAAAATAACTTTTATCTCTCACAAATAAGCTATTATGAATGTTTTGAGACCCCAAGTGTTTTTGAGTTATTAAAATTGTAAGATGGAGCATTTATTGGAATGCGTTTTGTTTAAGACTAATATGTTGGCAATAAAGTTAAAAAAAAGTGCTATGGCAAGTGTTTGCTTAATTTTAGTTAGAGAGAAAAACAGTCACTGTTAATGTATTATAGCATTTAATGACACTTCGGTGTGTGATAAAAGCAAAAAGTACTTTCCTTAGTTAAAAAGATGAAAATGGCTGACTTTCTTATGTACTCTGAACTTCTTGCATATATAATTTTCTTTTTTTAAAGGTGTAATCTGTCAGCTAATCAGCAAAGATTTATTGTACACCTTTTCTGCAGTGTATACTGTGCTAGTTGTTACGCAGAATAAGTAAGACAAGGTAAGTGGCTTCCCATCATATTGGAGAGGCAATCAATTTTCTATGTGAAACAGATAGTAATATTAGCTGATGTATGAGTAAGTGACAAAATTAAAGGTACCAAATAGCATGTCCCAGTGTATTCTATGAAACATTATTTCTTTGAAATGATCTGGGAAAAAGATTCTACAGCCAAATGTGTTTGAGAAACGTGGCCCACTATATAGCTCTTTTAAAGATTTACAGCATACTCTAGCATATTAAGGGGTCTGAGGAGGCCTGCAATAAAGATGCCTATAAAAGTTACTTGACTAAGCAATTTTCCAAGCTTATTTGGTCGATGTCCTGAATATCTCCTACAGGAACCCACTTTAGGAAGTGCTCCTTGATTTAGAATCTGACCCAACAGAGTGTCCCCTTAAAGGGTGGAAAAAGCTTGCTTTTTAAGACTAAATGCTGATTTTTAAACAAGTGTTACATTTATAGATGCATTATTGATTCCAGTCGAGACTGTTAGAACTTTCAGGAGGAAAACTTGGCAAGACATGTAAGAGTATAAAATATAAATGCTCTTTAGCTTAGGAATTACACTTCTAGAATTTACTCTTGTTCAAAAGATTTTAATGGCTAAGCCTTGCCTCTGAACTAAGAATAATCTCGTCAGCCTGCCATTTAATATCTTCCACAACATTTCCTTACTACAATTTCGGGTATACTAGCATGCACAAATATGTGCTATATAAATGAAGAGTAGAGACATATTTACAGAGGCTAGAAAGTTTGGAAAAAGATTCATGGAGAGGGTGGAACATAAAGCAGCCCTAATGGCGCATTGCGGAGTTAAACGTGTGTGTGTGTGTGTGTGTGTGTGTGTGTGTGTGTGTGTGTGTGTTTGCGCTGGTGATACTACTCTATCTCAGGCAGGGTTCTAAGTACTTTATTACATTATTTCATTTCACAAAACCAACCCATGATATGAATACTACTATTTTTCTTTTTTATTGACATGAAGAGACAGATTTCACAGTGTTCCTTGAGTCACACTGCCAGTGAAAGTTTGAGATTGGTAAACCCATTTTAGAGCCTGAAATTTAGCTACGTTGTTTTATTGTGACCAGAATATTTTCTAATTAAGTCCCAGAATACAAAATATCTTATAAATCTTGAGAGAAAGTGGGATTTTTTTTCCCCATTGTACTGAAATTTACATTATTTGATTGAGTTTTTGATGGATATAAAAATAGGAGAAATTATGAACCATTGCCGGTACTTAAATTGTAACTGTACATATGCATACAAAAAAATCAGACTATGTAAATTCTGAACTTCTCTTGGTTGGAGGTGGAACCAGTTAAACTGAGTATCTGCACCTTCACATTTGACTCTGTTAAATAATTTTATGGTTTCCAACATGGGTAGGATACATACAGAGAAGTTTTGATGACTTGCCTATTTGTTTTCTTTTACCATATAATCAGTAAGAATTGAGATTAAGGCATGGTTTGTGAAGCAAGCTAATCTATCCACTCTCCACAGAAGGATACATGAGAAGGACATCTATCTTAAGACATTGACTGGAAGACATAGATTGTCTCAAAATCACAAAGACCCTAAGGGCATTCCAAAATTATTTTTTCACATTTTTAGTCCATTCTTATTAATAAACTGTAAATAATGATAGTGTATGGAATAATCAATTACATGATAAATCTTCTTTTTATTATAAATGGAAGAGAAATATTTTTCATTGCACAAAATTCTAAAGGATTTTTTTCAAACTTTTTCTTAAATGTATTAGTTAACTGCTATTATCTTAGGAAAATTTCTTCCTTAATTTTGAATGTCTTTATTATTTGTTTTTTCTTTCATGCATTAGGCTAATACCTGAAGTATTACATTATATATTACAATATATATTACATTATATATTACATTATATATTATTTCAGTAAGCCTCAGAAATAATATGTAATATATAAAGAGGACAGAGTAGCTATTAATAAACAGCCATTATGCATTCAATATTTTAGGTGTTGGATATCCAAATGAGAAGAGGAAGTAAAAGACATATAAGGAATAGAGAACAATCAAAACATTGGTTGTTTTATGTTTTTAAAGCTCTCAAATCTCATTGAATGCAGTAAACTGACCAAGAACTTCTTGTTTATCTGGTATCCAGTTTCATTTGGCATTGTGCGGCGACTTCTTTCTGAGAAAATAGCAGAAAATCTGAAGAATTTTAAAACTACAAACAAAAGCCAAGTGATGACATAGATTTAGTAGAACATAACACAACCTCCTAACCTCCTAAATATTCTCTATAATACAATGCTATGCAATGGCACATGACATGATTGCAGTGCCATGATGCAGAGCAATGTCTTGCGGTCTCAGAGAAAAAAGTCAATTTTATGTATGATTGTTTTCATGGAAAATATATTCAACTCAAAGTTTTCAAAATTGCTAATTTATATATGCATTTGTATATTATATTTTTTATACATAGGAAGTTGAATATCCAGGTTAAAAAAACATTTAAAAGAAAATTAGTTGGTCGAGCAAAAGAAGCAAATGTGTAATATTTGACCATGCCAGTTTTTCGTTATTTACCTAATTATGTATATGAGTTTTCAAAAATTAGAACTTCCAGATTAAAAAGTTTGTAACCATTTTCTATAGTTTCTCTAAAGAAATGAAAGCATAAAAATTACAGTTTCAAAGATAAATGTCAATCTTAATTTCTAGTACCTGGAATTTCCACATTTATTTTTGCGGGAAAAAGAAAACTATTGTATATAGTAAACCTTAATGTGCTTTAATAGACTTTGTATTGTGTTTTAATAGCAGGTCTATTTATTGAGATTTATTGAAAATAAAACTATTAAGACAATTAACTTTATAAGCTAATCCATACTTACAATATTTTTTCTATGTTTCAAAAAGTATTATTTTTGAAATTATTTGTTTCAGAAATTAACCATTTAAAGCATGTTCATGCATATCTTCATTTGTGGTCTTTTGTTATGTCTGTTCTCAAATCTTGTACTATATTAATTGGCAACATTAATCTGTTTCCACAATAATTATAGTTTTAAAATTTCTTTTGTTCAAGATTTAAAAATTTGTAAAACATTGCTAGTGTTTATCAGAATTTGAATAGCGTAAAATTTTTTTAATAATAATATGAAATAAAGTAAAATAAGATACTTTTTACTTTAAAACAATTATGCAGAGGATAATTGTTGTCTAGTTTTCTTAATAGTAAATTAGATTTATTTTTAATTAAGTTGTGGTTGTACATTGGTGTAAAATGTCTGTTCCTTCCCCCTTATATTTTTCTGGTTTATGCACTCAGAAGATAGGAAATAACCAAATAGAAAAAGTTCAGCTTTATTTTATTTATGTATAAAATAAGAATGTTTAATCTTCCAGAAAAATGCATTGTTTGGATTTAGTTTATTATCTAAACAGTAAAGCAAGATATTTAATGTAAGCAAGTTTTTCTATTTAAAGAAATTAGTAATTATTTCAGGCATTTGTTTTTAATGAATATTTTGAAGGTATTATGGAGATACTTTCTCCTTAAGTTGCATAACTGTACATTCAATATATACCTTGCATCTCTTTAGCAGTTATCAAAATTTTAGGGCTAAAAGACCACTTTGAACAAAATTTCTAGAAACTCGTTACTTACATGCTTTAGCAGAAATTTAAATCATGAAGTTAAATCTACTCAGTTTCTCAAAAGCACCTGTTATCTCTGACCCAAGGCCTTTGTCACAGTTGATTCTTTTGCTTAACACAGCAGCTCTTCTCCCCTTTCCTGCTCTTTTCATTTAGCTAATCACTGTTTCTCCTTTTGAGTCTCTGTGTATTAATCCAGATAGGTTATGTTATGATGCATTAAAACAAAAAGACTAAATCTTAGTGACTTGGCATAACAAGCTTTTTATTCTCATTCACACAAGCCTATCGTGGATTGACATGTCTGTCTGTCATGAACTGCTGTCATTAATGTGTCGCTTTCCAGTTGTTCCATCTTGTGATACTTCCATCTTAACATGTAACCCTTCAATAGCTGCACAGAGAAAGACAGCATGAAAAATCATGCAACACTTTTAAAGTACTTATTTCTGGAAGTATAATTTGCCCAAGTATTCAAGAAGAAGAAGGTTGGTGGGCATTAGTCATGTCCACTAAACCTTGCATAAATGAAACATTTTCTTGTCTTTTTTTGATCTCTGTTCTGCCCTCAGCCTTCTCCAGATGCTCTCATAACCACGTGTTCTTTCTTTTTCATAGTCATTATTATAATGAATTGTTTGTCTAACTTTTCCCCTTCTACATTGTAAGCTCCATGGCTCCATGACTTCTGTGACTACATCTGCTTTTTCTCTCCACTTTGTCCACATTAACTGGCAAACAGTAACCAGCCAAATATATTTATTATATATTAAATATATATGTGTTATATATTTAATCTATTTATTAAATTAATGAACTAATGAGTTTCTATGGCTTGCAATCTTCCAGTTAGAGTGCTAAATGCTTAAGTTGGATTTATGTTGATTTCTTTTGGATCTCCCATGGTTTCATGTATGATTTTCACATGGTATGCAACAAATAAATTATTAATGTATGAATCAAGTATATATTTAGAACATCTTATATGCTTGACCTATTTTGAGGAAATCCATCTTAGGGAATTATTATCTCTCAGTATAAGTAAGAGAAAACTTCGACTTTTGGCAGCCAGAAATAATTTTTCCATGATATTTTTGTCAACCTCCTCCCTCACCCAATTAACAAAACCCTTATTATAGACCTACCATGGTAAAGACGATGCTAGGAATTTGCTGGAGGAAAAATGGGAGAAGACAATTCAAAGGAATGAGGCATGATCTCTGTCCTCAAAGAGATGACCATCTCTATCTGTTAGGGATAAGATGTACATATAACTGTTGAAGGAAGAAGTAGAAGTACAGCATAAGGGATACACACTGGGACTATGAATTCTGGATCATGAACTGTATCTTAAAGCTAGGAATATCCAGGAAAATTTTATGAATGAAGTAACATTTGATCTGGGCCGTAAATGCTTGGGCACATTGAAAAGGGCAGAAGACCATTCCAAACTGATGAAAGTATAAAGATCTTCTACTATATCTACATTGATTAAGTAGGTGTAGAAACATAAATAGTGCCCATCAGCATTCTAAGTTCTCTTTCCTTGACTACAAAAATAGAACATAATGACTCCTAAGTCTTTTTTTTTTTTTTTTTTTGATGGAGTCTCACTCTGTCGCCTAGGCTAGAATGCAGTGGCATTATCTGGGCTCACTGCAACCTCCATCTCCTGGGTTCAAGCGATTCCACTGCCTCAGCCTCCCAAATAGCTGGGATTACAGGTGCTCACCAGCACGTGTGGCTAATTTTTATAGTTTTTTAGTGGAGATGGGGTTTCACCATATTGGTCGGGCTGGCCTCGAACCCCTGACCTCAAGCGATCCACCCGCCTTGGCCTCCCACAGTGCTGGGATTACAGGCGTGAGCCACCACACCCAGCTGATTCCTAGGTCTTTTTATGCTAGGTAGGGTCATGTGACTAATTCAGATCAATGAGCTCTGTTTGATAATGGTGTTTATTGTTTCTGGGACAAATTATGAAAGAAGCTTGAATTTTATACTTGATTTTTCCATAATTCCTTCTCACATCTTCAATAAATTTGAAGCTTTATGTTGAGAAAGGGTGTCATAACATGATAGGGAATCCATCAACATAGATCCTTGCCAATATGAATCAGAAGTGTTGCAGCATGAGTAAGAAATAAACCACTTTTGCCTAAAACCACTGGTTTTTGGGTTTTATTGTTACCATAGCATATTCGAGTCTATCCTGACCAACAGTAGAAATATAGTCAATGCCCCATTTTATATATATATATATATATCAATCACAGATATATAATTTCTAAGGGAGTTGGTGTTAGAAAATTAAGATACAACTCAAGTTTATTCACTATAGGTGTGTCTGACACATTGTGCTTCTAGTTCACTCTCTGTCTTTCTCCTTTAAATCTAAGACTATGAGATTTAATAGATATGTAGAAGAAACCCAAGGCCCACATAGTGTGATGCCCAAATAGTAGACAGTAAGTAGACTGCTAATTGTTTGGCTAACATTTGATCACCTTGCTCCACAATATTTTACAAATTGATTCCTCCTCACATTAGTCAGAAAGAAACTTAAGACTTGCATGTTCGTTTTTTTTTTTTTTTTCTTCTTTTTTCTTTGAGGTGGAGTTTCGCTCTTGTTGCCCAGGCTGGAGTGCAATGGCGTGATCTTGGCTCACTGCAACTTCCGCCTCCTGGGTTCAAACGATTCTCCAACCTCAGACTTCCGAGTAGCTGGGATTACAGGCACCTGACACTACGCCTGGCTAATTTTTTGTATTTTTAGTAGAGATGGGGTTTCCCCATGTTGGCCAAGCTGGTCTCGAACTCCTGACTTCAGGCGATCTACCCACCTCGGCCTCCCAAAGTGCTGAGATTACAGGTGTGAGCCACCACACTGAGCCCCCACTTGCGTGTTCTTGAAAGCAGTATGAAACATTCAACTCACCAGTCTAATTGGAGTTTTTGTCTATATGATACCAAATTATTGATAGGCTTTTAAGAACTGAAGTGATATAGTTTGATATAAAGCAGATGAGAAGTTACATTAAAGAAGCTTATGCAAACATACATTTAAATGTTAGTCTAAGAAGAACACACTTTAACTGCTCTTTCTCACATATTCAATTACACAAAAATGATAGTTTATGTTTAGGAGGGATCTATATTATCAGTAGGATGAATACTCATCTTGGAGGCTAATATTTGTGGTCAGCTGTATGGGTTAAGACAGCTATGTGAGTTACGGAATCTAAGGTTTCAGTATTCTGATGATTATGGTGGTGTGTGAGTTCTTGGTAATGGAAACAAATTATAACCTTTTAACCTTTTGGAAAATTGAGTCCTATGATATCAGATGTGTAGGAAACAGTAAAAATAGGGGAAAACACATCCAGTGCAACATATAGGATCTTAGTTAACAATTCTCTCCTTATTTTCAAACACCTGATACATTTAAAGGACCCATTCTTGAATTTTAGGTAAGAACAAACTGCTGAAATCATTCATATAGTTTTATACTTGGGTTTTAATTTCCTTATGCGTTAGGATGAGTCAAACTTCCTTGTTTCACAGCCCCCACTTTATAAAAAATAAGTTCGCTGTGAATTTCAAACATGACCTGAGTGAACAACTTTATGAAAATAATGTGCATGTGTAATTACATGCTGTCAATTCTGTTACATGAGGGAGGATTATCCAGTTTGCATATTAATCACGCTCACAATTTCCTACTTTCTCTTCTGAGTACAATGCTGTTGTAAGGACTGTATACTGTGATGAATAAAATGGAAGGAAACAGACACTACCTGTGCTGTAGAAGGTGTGACAGGGTGAAGAATAAAATGGGAGTAAAGTATAGCAACATATATCAGGATCATAGAGATCAGCGTGGATAAACCAGAAGATGCGACTGAAATGATGTCTGGAAAGAGCAGCAGAGCAGAATTGATTCCTAGATGTATACTGAGACCAACTGCTCTATCTGTCCGACCTCAGTGCAGATGGCTCACTGTGTGTTATCCTTCACAATCACCCTTGACTTCAATTCAGAAAAGAAAAAACCTTAATCACTGTGATCATTATTAATATTATTAATAGGGTATTGATTTGCTTCTGTTTTTGCTCTTGTAACACAATTCATGATTTGGCAACTCTAGGACTTTTAAAACCTGATACTAATTGATAGAATTTTTAAAAATAGAAATTGGATGGGAGAGTTAGGCTAGAATTGCTAATAATTAGAGTATATTTAGAAAACTATATGCATTTGCTTATTTTTTAATGTTAAACTAGAAAAAATAAACATAAATTAGTTTTAATACCTTTGCTGAGATAACTTGTTGGGTAATCAAAAATCACAAAATGTAGCTGGTTTATTATATTCTCTCACCTTAAATGTGGCAGATTAATTAAGGGCTGATATATTGGTTAGCACTAATTTTCTAACTTCAGTTGTGTAGCTGATGAAGTTTCATTTTCCTCTAAATGGGTGATGCTATAAGGAAGGGTGGTAGAGCTTAATGCTGCCTGTCACTTCTTACCATACAGAGGGAAAGAAAGGATATGATCACCAGTCAAAAAAGGAAGCTACAGGTTGTAGTTCTCATCTCTGTACACAGGTTGTAGCATAAACTGATACAAAGAAGTAAGTGGAATCACCCCCTTAGCCCATGGGCCCCATAGAAAGCGGAATACTCTCCCGGGGTTCGGAGGAGGCAACACTTCTACCAGGTTCCAACAGATGCACACCATGGGTCCTGTAGAAAGCTGAATCCTCTCCGGGGGTTCAGAGGAGGCAACACTTCTCCTAGCAGGTTCCAACGGGTGTACATCAGTGTCACAGACATGGCCTGTCTCCCATACCCTTAGGCTATTCCAGAATGAATGTTTTCATGTCCTTTTATTGTTGCTTCCAGCAAAGTCTGGCCCTACCCTTTCAGAGAGTGGACAGATTATAAACACTAGGCATCTGATCATATTAAAGGTTGCAGGGAGATCTGAGTCTCAAACCCTGCTGCCCCACTGCAGGAAAAACAATCTGCTCATCCTTTTAGAAAAGTTAACTCTAGATCAGTCACATGTTTAAACACAGTACTGTCATCCAAATGAAAACTGCTATGTTATTATTCTTTTTTCCTAAAGTGCTTGCTAAAACACAGAAAACTGCTGTATCATAATCAAATTCCACCAATCAATTTTCAGATTAGAGGCCCATAGCCTTTACTTCCTTCAGAAACAAAAGAAAGGAGGTCTCATAACAATGATTAGGAGGTTTCAGGATCCCCCAAAGCTCACCAAAAAAGGACAGTCTGAGATACCTCTTATCAAGGCAGATATATTATGATCATGAGATATTTGGAACTAAAATTAAAGTGTCAATTTTCAGTTAAAAACGGAAGTGATGTAGTTTGAAATTGTTTTTATTTCCGAACATGTCAACCACTTCTCGACTTTGTGATTTTGATAAATGTCAGCCTCACCTGTTTGTTTCCTTGGCTTTGTGGGTTGTAGCAAGCTGTGCACAGTGGTTTTTCTGGTGTTTTTCAGATCTCATCAGAAGATGCCAGAAGTGGTCATCTTAAGAGCTTGTTCAAGGGCTATACTTTAGAGGTACAGTCTAGTATGCACAACCCAGTAGAATTATCTGGAAAATAATAGGAAAATAGGTGTTCTTTTCTTATCTATCCACTCTTTTTCTCTAAGAAAATTTTGGCAAGAGAGAGAACTGGTGGATGATTTTGTTTTTTATTTTTCCTTGTAGACCAAGGAAAATAGTTAATTCTTGAGTGGTTAATTATTCCAAAGGACAGATGTGTTCCAACAAATCATGGAGGGGTGGCATGGATTTGTAGGGTCTGTGGGCTATGGCATAGGACTGCTGGGTTCATATCCCAGCTTTACCACTTAGTGTGCTGTGTGAGTTGCTGAACCTACTTTAACTCAATTTCTTCAACTGTAAGATGTGTATAATCATAGAGTTCTTGCAAAGAAGAATTAAATCTTGAGTTAGCTAATTAATACAGAGTGCTTAGACTGGTGCTGGCACTAAGCAAGCATCTAGTAAATATTAGCTATTATCATTACAGGTCCACAGTCACTCATGTAAAACATGTGGGGCCAGATGAGTTTTGGAGTTAAGAATATTTTAGATTTTAGAAGTTATGTATACTCTATATTATATAACACCCACTATAGGATTTGGGGTAGAAACTCTTAAACACTTTAATATTTCCACAGCCAAGTCTGTAAAATAGTTACATTATGTGGGAAGAATAAAAACTATAATTAGCTCAGGTCAATTAAGGTTAGGTTTTGCTATGAAATGAGCTAGCAATTTTTTTTTGTTCAGACTTTTTAGGTTTTCAAATTTCAGGTAAGGAACTGTGAAACTCTATTATATTTTCTGATGTTCCTGAGCCAAACCTGACTCTACCATAGAATGACAAGCATCCATAAGGATGGGAACAAACACACCTCTGCAGTTTTCAAAGTGTTACTGGCTCAGGCTCACTTTCGGGCAAGCCGGCTTATATCAGGGTCCTAGTGTTCAATTAGAACTGAACAGAGATCACACATAAAACAATAAGGTTTAGTTAAATGGTTGACTTGAAATTCTAAAGAAGAAAATACCAAATCTGCTTCCTAATTATGATATGTCCAGAAACCATAACTCATTTTGTCCTTTTCCTCCATTCCCTATATGCAGTACATGATGATACTACAGACTCATAGCATTCTTTTGGTTAAGAAATTTAAGATGAGGAAGGGATTTTCTGTACAATGCAACTGGCAATGAGAAAAGACAACTTGCTAAAATATGAGGTTGAGTGATCTTATGGCTTAGCCTATGAATATCTTCTCTTAAAGGCAAAATCCATGCCTTTCACTCTGTCTGATAAGTGGTCCAGATGGAGTATTAAGCTGAATTTCTTTCTCATTAACAAAAAGTAGGAGTGCCTAGGAACCCCATGCCTGCAGAAATTGAACTTGAGTTATTATTCACTTCTTATATCTCTTTAAATTTCAAAATTATTTTGGGATCTACTGACCATGGCAAAACTCAAAATATAGTTTACACAATTCAGTTTATGTGTCTCCAGTTTTTCAGCTTTCCTACAGCAGAGCATCATCAGTGAATGAACTTTGTAGAATTTTGCTTGGCATTTAGAGGAATGATAGCTAAATGAATGTATTCTCACCCGATAATTCCATTATAGTCTCCAAGGCTCACCACTCATTAATTGCTTCTCTAATTGCTTTATGAGAAATTGCTATTTGATAGGTTTTTCTCCTTATTCTTTCTAATGTCGTTGAGAGTTGCTAATTTACTTACTAGATAATTTAGGATAAGTTACATAATTTATTTGAGCATTTACAAATAATTTCAACATGCTGAATGCTGAATTGCCCTTGTGATATAGTGTGCTCTGTTGATCTATTTTTTGATATTCATTAATTCAACCATTTATTCTACAAACAAGTTTTGAATGTTTATAATGTGCGAGGCATCGATCCAACAACTGTGGAATCTATAAAGAGGGTTGGTGTCCTAAAGGAGCTTATATTCTATTAGGGAAAGAAGACTGAAATAATTAGAATCCAAGGTTGAAAGTGATGAATGCAGAGGCCTGGACAAAGTCCTATGGGAATTCAGAAGAAGGATGGAGATTATTTCTAGCTGGGGAATTTGAAAATGGTTTAACAGAAGAAATTGTCTTAGCAGTATATCAAAGGATAAATACAATTCATTTTTATTAACAATTGATTAAAGTATTGCCTTTTGTTGTCCATCAAGGGAAGACTGCTTAGGTAAATAATGGCACTTCTAAAATTAGAGAGACATTAAAAAATATGTAACAGCCAGTATAATGTATACACTGACAATTCAGAGTAGATGTTTGACTTTTTAGGATGGACAGATGCCAGCCTGTATCCTCTTCTGGTACATGCTGACTACATATTGAGTCTATATACAGTGGAATATGTGGAAGTAAAATGATGATTCAAATAACATTTTTTAAACCTGGATAACTGCAACATGCTGGTGCATTAAAGAGAGCAAGATAAGCAACAAAAGTTATAAAGTATGAATTATTTGTATATAATTGTTTGCATATATTTAAATCTAGAGAATTGTCTTAGTTTGAATTGTAAAATTTCAAATGAGTTTTACCTATTCTTTGCATTTTTCTGTTTGAGTCATTTACAGCGACTATGAATCAATTTTATAAAAGAAACAAAGTATTTTAAAAGCCATGTCAAAAAACATTCTGAACAATATTTAAACAGATACATTAGTGAAAAACATAACAATTAGAAGGAAATTATAGCTATGTATAGGTTATGTATTCACGAAAATAATCTAGTTGGTGGAAGCAGAAATGAGATAAAAATAAGGTGGATACATATGGATGAAATAAAGTTGGAAACTAGTTGTTGGCAGATCCTGGAAAACCTTGAAGAATACAAATTTGGCTTTATCTAATAGGCAAGTATGGATGGGGGCAGTTGCAGTTTTTGAATGAGTAATGATTACTGAGAAGCCCTTATTTAGAAGTTTTTCTGGAAACAACCTTTAGAAGAAATTTTTGGTGACTGACACTGGAATTATGGATGACATTTAAGAGGTTACTGCAATAATCTACAGAGGCAAACATGACATGGAATTTGACAGTAGCATCAGGAATGAAAGTGCAGCAGAGACACCATAAGTTTTTTTGGAGGGAGAATGAACAGAACTTACAGACTGAAAGGGTAAGGAAGGCAAAGGGGAGGAAAGAGCCATTGACGAATACTGGTAGCATTAGCTTAAATAAAGCAATTTCAAAAGAGCTACACATTAGTGATAAAGGTTCAGAGAATCGGAATGTGAGATCTGAAAGTGATCATTTTTATTCCTCTTATTTCATTGTATGTAGGAAAACAAAACTGAGGTTAAGCAATTTATCAAAAGTTATACAGTTAAAGCTTCAGTTGGTTTTAGACTTATCAGTTTGAAGTGCCATAGAGTATCCCAGGATATCTGATAAACCCATTAGAAATACGGATCAAGAGCTCTGTCAAGTCCCATCTTTTCCTTTAGTCAAAATTGAAGACTCCTCCATAGTCCCATATAATTATACATACTTCTAATATAGAATTTACAAAATTTTATTTGCTTTTATTGTTTTCCTCCAAAAGAAAAGGACCAGGTCTCATCGTATATACGTATACATAGGCATACATATATATGGCTATGTATATATAACTGGTACTGATTATAGGCGCTCAAAATTGTTTAAATGAATAAATGAAAAAGAAAAGTGACAAGTAACATATATTTGAGAGTCTTTCTAGAAGTTGTTATAGAAGATAAGGTAGTTGAAGTCCTCAAAGGAGACTGTATAATTACAATAGAACCTCCTTCTCCTGCTTGAGATATCCACCTATGTGGATATAGGTATATAGGTTTATAACCTATTACCAGAGACTTCCAAATGAAAGGGCAGTCTCTTTTTTGTATTACAGATAAGCCAAATGGCATTATGAATAGTTCCCTTAAATCAAGGATTATGACACTGAATGCATCATGCCTCTCCACATGCAGTCTGTTTCTCCTCCCTAAGCCCTATCTTGGTTAATAGCACCATTATCCAGGCTATCAGAAATCTGAATGTTGAGCTATCCTCGTGTCCTAAATCTGATCCTTGTTCTATCAGATTTACTTCCTGAACATCTCACAAGTGGATACCTCATTCTGCCCCCATGATCTCCTACTGCTACTCGTTGATTCCAGGTCTCATAATTGCTCTTGGAACATTGCAATAACTTACCAAGTTGTCTTCTTGGCTCCAGTTTTATCTATATCCCAAAGCCCATTAGAAAACAAAATTGTCTTTATAAAACCTAAGTATTGTTTTTATTTTTCTCTTTAACAAATGCTGCAAAGACTCTCAATTTCTCAGGTTACAAATCATACTCTTTTCTGTGGTGGGGTGCCGTTTGTGTTTTGGTCTATCTATCTAATTTCAATGCTCTTCCACTTACTGCTCCAACTACATTCACCTAATCACAGCTCCTCAAACACTCCATGCTGTTTTGAAGCTGGTTACTTCCTTTCTCTATAATGCTCTTTCTTCTATTCTGAAGAATTCCCATTCATCTTTAGAACAAGCTCAGTTAACATTCTTATCTGAGTAACATTTTCTAACATCACCTGATAGGTCTGATCACTCCTCTTATGTACCTTTTGCCATGTGTTGTTTCCATTATACATTATTGCATGTACATGCCTGTGGAACAGAAAATTATACTATAAATTCCGATAGAATAGAGACTTAGTTATTTTTAGTCCTGCACCAGGTGCAGATAGCAAACATATAATAAATATTTATCACCTTTTGCATAAAAGAATGATGTCTGGGGAGACCTTTTTTTTTTTTAAAGTTTTATTTGTGTCCTTAATATAACACTTTTAGGAAAGAGCTGGGAATAGGGACAGATTTCGAAGTTTAATGAATAAGATACTAAAGAGTCAGTTTTAGTAAATGTGGTAAAATATATGTTATGATGGAATACATACACACACACATACATATATGTATATATATATAATGGAATCTTAAAAAGAATCTCAGAGTCCTAAAGAGATCTTAGAAGACCTAAAGAAGTATATGGAAAATTGGAAATAAACCAATGCAAAAATGCAGACTTGAGTTTAAAGAAGTGAGAAGACAACAAAGAATTAAGATGAAAACAGAAAGGACTTTGTCTTACACATTTTTATATCTTTAGTGCTGTGCAGATAGAATCATTCAATATATTTACATAGAGGAAAGGGATATGAGGAAAAGAAAGGATGAAAAAGACACAGAAGGGAGGCTAAAATAAATAAGTTGAGGAAATTTATATTTAAAACAAAATGAACAATTAGGTTCAACTTATCTCCAACTTTTCCATGACATTATCAACATAGGTTCTATTCATCCTTAGCTTTTAGCATGCTTATCATCTATAATCAGACTGTGAAACTACTTTGAGGCCAGTTTATAGAGGTTTTTAAATACCATGATAAGCACTTTGACTTTTAGATCTCTTGTGCAGGGGATGCTCTTCCTATTTCCTTAAAATAAATGCCCTTTGGGAAGTGATGCTTTAGTTGGATTAAGTTTACCTGACTACAAGAAGTGAGAAAGTCTCCAAGAAGTGCAATTAAGAAGGGGTAATACAAGTGTACAAGCATAAATAACAGTATAGGGATTAATGTATCAATTAGAACAAAAAAAAGCATTGATGTATATCAGAGAAAAAAATAGAAATTTAAAATCAGTTAACTTGTGGGCTGCAAAAGAGGCATGAGTCAAGTTTGGGAGAAAGATTTTTTTTCACACTTTGTTGTACCCTCCCTCTGATGTCCTTTGTAAGGTATCATAGTGCCTATGAGAGGATTTTTAATCTACAAAACTATTCAGAGAAGGCAAGCCTGTTCAGAAATTTTAAATGGTCTTTTGATGTAGCTGAGATGTCATGGGAGGCTATCACACCTTCCATGCTGACAATGCCTTAGGCCAGTCATGCTGATAGGGCAGTGCAGAGACAATGTGAATCGTGCTCTGGGTTTGAATGTAAGTGCCTAGGTACAAGAGTTCAGTGATTTTACTATGCGACAGCCATTGAACCACTTATTTTCATTATGAAGGAAATTAAACATCTGCCTTCAGAATAAAATACCATCCATGACTATCCAGGTATGCTGTTACTGGAATTGATTGAATATAGCTTTATAACATTTCATATTTATTTTGCATTTGTCTTTTTCTAGCTGTGAATTTCTGATTTTGAGTATCATACACCCTCTTTCCTTTCATACCTTCATGCCTCATTGACATTAAGGGGAAAAAATACAGATTTGAGAAGCAATACTTACAAAAGCATCGCAAGCAGGCCAAGATAATACAGATATTTTCCTCAATCACTAAAGTTATGGATTAAGTTAATCAGAAGCAGCATTTGTGATACACATAGTTTTATTTTTTTTTTTTGAAATATACATTTTAGTGGTATTTCTAGCCTTAGTCTGCTTTCAGTAGACAGATCCTTGCAACTATGCATCTCCTATTATGAATGACTGGCATGAGATTTGTTTGACATTGCTGACTAGACACTGGTATTAAAAAACAGTATTCAATGTTTTCATTTTATGCTTTAATACAGAAAAGCTTCAGCCAATTTGTGGTGTTTAGATTTTTGAGGAAGTAAATAACTTTTTAAGTTATGCTGTTTCTAAATACACTATTTTTGTTTTCTTACCCACAGAATATTATGTCTACATCTGATTATTGTGATAAGTGGTTTCAAAGTCAGCCCAAATGATCTAAAGGAACCTGGTTGTTTTGCTAGTCTTTTATGTGAGATGCATTCCTAATGCAATCTGTGGAAACTCTTGTGAACATTGGCACAGATTGATGACTATATGTACAAAATTCCACTTAGTGGTTTTAGTTATAAGGGCTATTTTTAACAAAGTTTGAGGAAGACAGTCTATGTATAATTCCTTTGAAGCATATTATCCTATAAACCCTCAAAAATGGTAGCATATCTTTGAGCTACGAAATGAATCATTCTAATTGCACTAAAACAACAAAACTCACCAACTAAAACGCCATCAACAAAATCTTAGTATTTTTCTCTGACAGAGAATAAAAGTTCACCATCATAATGACTTTTTTTTTCAAAGCTTTTGATTTTTCTTTCCTCTTTTTTTTTCTTACTCTAAACCAGTAGGTTTATAAGCCGTGTACTTGAACAGCAAAGCCATTTGCCATTTGGTAGAACTGGCTGACATTTCATTTTTTCTGGGCAGATTGCAGATTAGTTTGACATTATTTTGCTGAGCTCTGTGCTACATCATTAACGTATTGCTTATGACTAAAAGCAAAGTAGTTTCATTTTGTGGCATAATACCCTACACTCTCTACAAGTAGCAAAAAGTATGATTTTTCTTTGAAAATGACTAGGTATTGCTTCAGTCTTGTGAAAAAAAACAGAATTCTATTAATGTAACAAAATGTATCACTAAAATGGTGTGTCAGAGGGGAACGAAAACCTCTATAAAGGCATGATGTGTTTACTGTTGATATCTCTAAATCTTGGCTAGAAATGAGAAACATTCATGAAATATTGGACTTAAACTGAGATTACATCAGTATGGTAGCAATATCGTACTTGTCAACTAACAGAATATAACTGCTTGGTTGTACCACATGAAAATGAAAATTCACTTTTTGATCTAAGGCATAATTCTTTTCCTGTCCATGTTAGATAACTTTTTGTTTTCAATGTAAATAAAGTAGAGGCTAGGGAACTGTATCACAGGTTGGCTTTGTTTGGGAAATCGGGAATAACAAATGGCTGATCATTTTTTAATTAAAGTGGTAATCAAACAATTACCAATGCTCTTATTTCAGTTGTTAATATATCTGCTCACATCCTCTTTCCCCCCACTGAATTAACTCTAGTATGAAAAATTTAAAAAGCCACATTGTACAATTGTTGATTTCTTTCCTACTTAAGGAGCAATTGTTGTATTATAATTATATATGATATGGATGAGTTATGTTGAACAATTCACTTGCTGTGATTTTTCCCTTTTTTTCATTATGTTGACATATTTTATGAAGACAGAACATCTCGTTGCTGCAAAATGCTGCTTTTAATGACAGTAAGCACCTAAACGAAGTATTGTGCAAATGTTTTGGTCACACACACCTTAATGTTTAAACAAAACATCAAACCAATTAGCAAGCCATGCTTCAGAGATACTGTATATAGCCTGATAGCAGGTTCTAACGTTTTTTAAAATCTCATTAAATTGATGAACTTAATTCTTCCTACTTTTATGGTAGCAGATAGGAAATCTTGAGGGACAAACAATAATTTCACAGTCATCTGAGATTATTACACTGATTACCTTTTATTAATTCAATTTCCCATTTGTTTCTTTGACATTTTGAAAGGATAAAAAAGTTTTTTTGTGTATGTGTGTGAACTTGCTTTTGAAGCCCCACTATTTCTAATAATAAAAAGCGTTCAGGGATGATGTACATTGCTTCAACATACTCTATTCATGTTGTACGTCAGAGATGACTTGGTTTCTACAGCGTCTTAGATAGAAGGCTATTAAACCAGAAAAAAAGTATGCAATTTTCAAGAATGATTTAAGGCGTATCTCTTTTTTTTGTTCCAGCATGCTTATCTTCTAATTCACCCTATATGTTAGGTTTTATCTGAAGGAAATCTACACATTCAGTTTTCTCCAGACACAAAATCTAAGAGTTGGGGTATAAGGGGTAGGACCACACAAAAAGCAAAAGACTTAGAAAAGACATTAACAAGGATTACATTTCTTTGATTATAATTATCTTATTGCTATTAGGTTTGTTCTGCTTTATTTTACGTTTTAAGACTTATAGTAAAAATTATACCCAGGCTAAAGTTTCAAAAACTTAGATAGAGAGATACACAATAAAATATAAAAGTAGTATTTGAAAAAAATGTGATTTTACTTCTGGTTGCAAAATTGCCTTTTATATTTTTAGATAAATATTTACCAACTTATTTTGGATTATAATCAGATTATTGATATGGTTATCAAAATTTTCCTTCAGTGAGGTTGTTCATACACATTCAGCTAGATTCTTCCAATGGATAATAATTCTTAGTCAAAAGGTCAAATTTATTCTAGTTTTAATCAATGTCCCATTATTGCAATCCAAATGAGCTTAATATTACCCATAAATATTGTGTTTATAATTTTTATCTTCATTAGGAATAAAAGATAAAAATTCTAAATGTATGGCTTTTGAACCAAGTGGTATGGTGTTGGTTTCTTGTAGAAATGGTCAAAATACTTTGAGGTATGCTAGCTGTTTTAGTTTTCTGGAGTAATGTTTAGTATATTATTCTAATAGACCTAGAAGCAATATCCAAACAGGCCGGAGAAGTTAAAGTGCTCCTGAAACTGATCTATTTATTCCCGTGGAGGACTCTTGGATCTCCTTGTTGGTTCCTTGTTATTGGAAAATCATATCAAATATGAATTCATATTAAATATTATTCTTTCAATAAACACTGAAAAGGAAATTGTATTTTTCCCATATTGTTGACAAATCAACTGAAACAACTTTATTTTGCTTAATGAGTATTGGTTCCAGCCAGATGGGCTCATTGTTATTTCCTCAAAAGCCAGTAGATGGAAAACTAATCAACATTTTAATAAGTTGTTTTATGTACCCAAAATAAGAGTAGAATGTGTGTGTGTTTGTGTGTGTGTGTTTGTGTGTGTGTGCGTGTGTGTGTGTGTGTGTGTGTTTAAGCAAATCAGGGAGATTATATGTTGGGGGGAGACAGAGGCTAAAGCAATGGCTTTTTTAAGTTATTTATCTATGTTCCAGTGTTTGTGGCCAGATGGGCATCTGTGCTACAAAGAGAAGGTAATATTATTGGCAAGATGAAATGATGTGAGAGGATTTCAAATTGTCCTATGAACTTATGAGAACTATCAATAGTTTCTCTAGTTTTCTATTTAATTGAAGAAACATGACTAGAGTCATTAGATGACCTCTACAAATCATTAATGATGCAGCTGGAGAGGAATTCTAAGACTCCTATTTTCGAGTGGACTGTTTTACATATGCCACTGCCATCAAACAAAGCAATTCAATAAAGCTAGAGGTAATACCTTGCTGTGAGCAGATATTTATTAGCACATGCCTATCATACTAAAATTTTCCTAAAACCATCTGCATAGTATTGTTTGCAAGAAGTATTCCGAAATATGATGGAGATGAACTATTCAGTTTCAGAATGACTGCAATAAAAGCTACAATAAAGGGAACTACTTATTGCCATAGAAACAAGAATGTATGCACAACAATAACATTTGAAACCAACAAGACTGTTCATAATAGCATATCATAACCTAGAATCTTTTGCTTACAGTATGATTTTGGTTTGTGTTATTACTGTAAAGTACACCAGTGGCTTATATTTGCAGGACTAGAACTGTCTCAAGATGCTATGATGCTCAATTGCATCATCCAGAATTTAGAATCAGTTAATCTAATTTTAGTGATGGCAACTGAATTTCCAGGCACACATATAAATTTGACAGTAAAGTGTAGTTCTGAAAAACTATCCTGATCTCTGTGTTTGTATGTGGCATTGTGCATTATTTGATAATACTAGAGAACACATTATTTTCTCATCCGAATTTTTCTTATAATTAAAATTACCATTTTAAGTATTGGTAAATTTTTTTACAAATAAGTAAAGTTTTAATTGCTTATTATAAAGTTTTATGATAGACATTATATTCTTGACTTTCTTATACATAGTAGGTTAAACATAATTAAAATTTATCTTGACAGCCTGAGCTCATAATTAAGACTATCAATGATAATATTTTGTGAGTCAGTAATATTGACACACAAATGCCCTCAGTATCTTTTTTTTTTTAAATTCAACCCTGCTTGTATTTGCTCTAAAGGATCCTTGTCTGCTATAGTGTGTCCTTCCTGTCAACTGTGGCTTCACTGGGGTTAGTACTGCTTCTTTGTTTTATTCATTTAATTACCATTTGTGAATATGTGACTGTGTTAGAAATGTCTGTAGAACAAGGACAAATGGGTTCCGAATAAATATCTGAGATTTTTCTGATAATTAAAATGTTGTTGCCTTGATGAATGTTTTGTGAAATTTATCCAGAGACCTCCTTTGTCAGCTTAGAATTCCAACCAAATTTTATGTGGTAGTGAATGCTAGATTGCTAACTTGTTGATAAATGTGTTATTATTATAATTTGAACGTGTCAGATATAGTACCACACAAAGGAAAAATCTGGCATGTTGAAAAAAAAAGAGAATTTCAGGGTTCATCTAGCAAATCAAAGAATATTGAATCAATCAACAAATAATCATTACTTAGAGGCAAAGAAATTGAACTGTCACTTCATACCATTAGTTAGATAATGATTAACACAGACTCTTAAAATAAAAATAAAAGCTTCTGAAGGCCAGTTCACTTCTGTTGTAGATAGCAAATTTTACCTTTCAGTTTTATTTAGTTCTTTGAAAACTTATAACTACCAGATTGTAATAGCAACCATACATAGCAGAAACATAAATATTTGGTGAAAAGACATCCCCGATAGGAATATCCAACAAATATAAAGTACTGTAATCTAAACTCCAAATTCCAAAATGTTAATAAAGCCATCATGGAAATGGAAGAAAGGAAGTAATCTGAATACTTGAAGGCTTTTATTTTAAAGTTTTACATGATGAAATCAGAAAATTGAGTATTTATATCAACTATAAAGTGTCATCTCAGATTAATTGCCTAAAGTTTTAAAGTTAACAGTTTGGATATTTGCAATAAAGTCATCTGCCTAGGAGGGATAGTAGTAGTAAGTAACAGACAATCTACATTATCTACATTTCTTCATGTAGGTTTCTAGTGGGCCTTCTTTTATCTTTTATTTTCTTTGCTAACATGACATCTCTAAGTACATTATTTTTTGTGTTTCATACTTTGGATTCTACATGGCTGAGTCATAAACACAATTCTCAAGGTCCTAAGTCATGTTCGTACATGAAAAAAATTTTGTTTTGGCTGTAGGATTTTTTTTTAATTTTAACATACCAGAAATTTTACCTTCGAGCTCTGAATTTTCAAAAAGTGGCAGCAACTTTATTTAGAAGTTTCTTCTCATGCCTCAGTTTTGTCGCAGCAAGTTGATAGGGCTTTAGCTACATTATCTCATAAGTTCTTTAAGATTCATCGATTCATATTAAAAATTGGAGAATAAGTGTGCATCCATTGATATTTGGCCTTTGAATTTGTTCCACCTGCCAATAAAGTAATATTTCTTGGCAGCTTGCCATGAAAGGTCAGCACTTCTTGGCATTTTTTTCACCTGATTTTTAGATATTCATTCAGAAATAGTTATTTTTCTCTGTGGTCAAAGCTGTGGTTTATGAAGATATACATTCTTTTGCAACTCCATCTTATAGAATTTTGAGTTTATTCTGACAATTTACTTTGGTGCATATAAAAAGACTGCTTGATAGTGCCAGTGTCAGTTTAAGTTTAGATCTTTGTAGGACATGGCAAAGAACATAATTTTCATTGAAAAGCTACATAAACATTATAAGACCTAGTACTTGATGGCACAATAGGGTGCCCATAGTCAATGATAATTTATACTTTTAAAAATAACTAAAATTGTGTATTTGGACTGTTTGTAACACAAAGCATAAATGATTGAGGAAATGGATATCCCATTCTCCATGATGTGATTATTTCACCTCACATGCCTGAATCAAAACATCTCATGTACTGCATTTATACACCTACTGTGTATCCACAAAAATGAAAAATTAAAAAAAGGAAAGTTAGATAAAAATGTATGAGGAAGCAAACTTTAAATGTCAGGTCTTTCTGATAACTAGAAGCATACAAATATGAAACTACAGTCTTGTGCAGTTTGAATTGCTCACTAGTGGGTATATTCAAGCAGTTCTAGTTATAAGATGTTTTCTAAAACTGTGAATAAGAGACTGGATGACCTTGCCTGAAAGTTCTTTCTAATTTAAATTTCCTTGATTTACAGATATAATGTAATTATATTGACCTTGGATTTTTGCTTAAGTAAGGTTTCCATAAAGAATTAGGCTCAGAACATCTGTTTTTCTGGGCTAATGCATGGGAGTAGTCTTGATACTTTACATGATATATTAGAGCCATTAATACACCAGAATTTTAAGACCAATTTAAGTAGTGCAAGCAAGAATAATAGATCTGGGGGGAGGATATCTGTAGTTTGCAAAATTTAATGAAAAATGGAAATCAAGTCTTGAGGAAAGATGGGAATCATGGCAGCCCTGAATCTCAGTAGTAGAATTTGCAGACTATTTGTAGATGTCTCAGTTTTAAAACACTTCTATTGCTACATGTCTGTGTTCAGTATTCAAATTTCCATGGAAAACCAATTGATTTAAATTAAGTCATAACACTTCTGTGGCCAAAGCAGTGAATTAGAAAGGAAGTTGGTAGGAGAGGAGAACCAAGCACTATGACTTCCAGACCCACCAGAACCAAGGTTCAGTAAGAATATTGGCTGAGAGTGTTATATCGAAGATGGGATGGGCTAGGAATTAGAAGTCGCCCAAAGGACCGGGTAACAGATGTTACACCCCAGCGCACACAACCACACACACACACACACACACACACACACACACACACACACATACACACACACTACACCCTTATACAAACCCAACCAAACAAACAAACTGGGATGAAGGTGAGAAAGGATGCTGGGCAGATAAAACAGTTAGTAATTTTCCAATCTATTTCTGTCTCCCCAGTGATCTCTAAGATCCTTGAAGTCAAAATTATGTCTTGTTCGCTATTAAGTTTCCAGCCTCTCCCACATCCTATGGCACATAGCATTTTGTGTAGTACATATTTTGTTAAAAAACAAATGAATAAATGAGTGAATGTACTTAAGTAAAACAGTTTAGAAGCTTATGGAACCCCCTTTCATAGATACGAGGGATGCAATTTAGCAAGCTGCTGACTCTCTGATCTTCCAAAGCTATTAAAACACATGCCAGCCACTGGATAGTGATGGAGATGCAAACTTCATCTTTTTCTTATTCCCTCTTTCCTTTTGTGTCCTTTCCTTTCTTTTATTCTCCCACTCTCCCTCACTTCATCTTCTCTTTTGTTCCTTTCCTGCTTTCCTTAATATGTACTATTTCGTTACAGATCATAAAGACAATATAAATTATTTTTACTTATTAGCAAAATGTAATTATACACAATGATATTTAAATGATAGTTATTCTGTTTGTATTCTCATAATAGTTGAACACAGCAGATGGACTGTAAAATACTGCCAAAAAGTCTTGGATTCTAAGGTGTTTTTACTGTTTCCCGTGTTTCTAGGGAAACTGTAATAATCAGGTTTTTCATCTGAATCCTTTAAAGCTTTTATGAAATCCAGTTCAAAAGTAGAACTAATCATAGTTTATAATGAGCTTTGAGAGATTTTTCTTGTAAATTCAAAGAAAAAAAAAGAACCATAAGAGAATTTCAAATGCTGTTAATGAGGCTGAAATTTTTATAAAAATCAGAAAATAACTATCTTAAAAACAAATTGCATATATATTATTATGTATGTTCACTGTATCCATATTTGAATAACTATCACCAGCAATTCAGGGCTCTTTGCATTTTATGGTCACCTAATCTCTAAAGATTCTTCTTTATCAATAACAGGCGTATTTAAAGAATGGTCACTGTAGCAAGAAGGTGTTTTGATGCACAGTATTTAGAAGAAATTGTAGCATCTTCCTTTAAAACACATTCTAAAAATTGCATCAGCAAATATGCATAAAAGATCATATTATAGTTTGTAGTATTTAAAATATTATGCATTAGTTCAAAACATTACCGAGTTAGCAATTTTTAGACGCTACTTACAAATAGCTGTTTTGGAAGAACATGAGCCATTTGGAGCTTTTTGGAAGAGTTTTATTATTATATAACTATGAGCGTGTAAGTGATGTCACAGCTCAAGCAGAAAATTAACTAAATTTTGAAAAATTAATGTCTCCATATGAAATGAAAATTCAGTGATATCAAGAATGCTACACCAATAATTATGCCCTTTTTTTGTTTTGAATGTCATCAAAGGCTATTTAAAGATTGTAATGTGTTTAGATTTCAAGCCGATTGTGTCAAGGAGGGTAAGAAAGTACCCTAGATGTACTAGAATGATACCTTCTCTTAATGGATAATGACATATATGTTAAGCAACACAAGGAAAAAATTTTGTTGTATAGAAAATTGGATTCTTTCCTGTGTGTGCTTTTGTAATATATGCTTAGGAACACATAAGCTTAATGCCATTTAAAAAACAAGCAAACAAAAAAAGGACAAACCCAGAAAATGATGGATGTCCTGCTTACCTGGAATAGATCAATTTTGTAAGCACCTGGAAGAACATCTAATGCAGACAAAAATCAATGTGACTCCATGAAGAACACTTCTTGTTGGATTAATCTTATTTTCTTCTGTGCCAGAATGACAAACTTAGTAGATCCATCAGAAGTCAAAGCCCCAGTGTAACTTCACTTAGTGAGGCTTTTCTTTTATTCTAAACCATATCCCAGTTAACAACCTGGAAAATGTAAACCTTTCTACAAATAAGCAAAAGGTGGGCAATAGTTTTGGCCAATGGGGACATTTCAAATAAACCCTACCAGTACCAAATATATTCATACATGATCTGAACAATACCATCACAAAAACATAAAGAATATCTAACATTTGTTTATGCCTTCCCATATGCTGGATATTATTCCATGATATTTATATGTGTTAACCCACTTAATCCTATTTGAAGGGTGACATATGGTACTGTATAAAGGCCTGGCCTCCCGAGCCTGTGTTTATACTCCAGCTCTGCCATGTGGCTGTGTGGCCTTAGGCAAGTTATTCAGTCTCTCTGTGACTGGGTGTATTCTCATGTAACATGGGGATAATAGTTCTTAGCCCTTAGAGTTAGGAAGATTAAATGAGATATTATTTTTAAAGTGCTTAAACAGTGAATGGCCCAAAGCCAATGCTACATACATTTTGCTAAATAAATGAAAATATAATCCAAACAATAAATTGTCAATTACAGAGAAATGCTTAGTAAGGGGATGGCCAAAATATTGCTTTTAGTGAAGAGCTCCAAACAATGCCCAGTGATAGAAAATGATTGAGTAAGCAGAGTATAATATAGCAGAAGAAGTGCTGTGATCTCAGTGGGACGCTGGTTGAGCATATGTCAAGAACACAGGGCTGTAATTACTTAAAATAAACAGACACTAGGTTTTCTTGATGGAAGAGTGTCAAAACAATACTAACCCTGATTCTGGTACTTTCATCCCTTTTTACTACATTGTAACCAATATAGTTTTTTCTCCTTTTTATATCCCCTCCATCCCCTTTTCCCTTTCTTCCATTCACCTTTTATTTTTAATAACAATTTGGAGAAAAAGATCACCCAGTGGCAATATTTTTATCATTGAAAACTATGCTGGAGAAAATTAATAGAGCTTGAACTGATAGATCATCTGTATAAGATATTGTGCATTCTAAACATAAGTTTAAGGCATTCTTGTCACATGTCATCATTTAATACAAAGCTGAATGAAACTCCATGAGAATTATATTTCCCTATCGAACTAGGCCTTCTGTGTACCCCGGGGGAATGAAAACCAGGTTTTGGTCCTGCCCTGGAAGTGTGTGAGTGACTCAATTTGTTGCTTCTCGAAGACTTTTTAACATTGTTGTGGATCCAGTATGAATCACCACTGAAGCGCTTCACTTCATTGCCTCTTCTCTCAATTATTATTTTATTTTGGCTCTGTACCTGTAGTATACCTTCTTCTTTATGCTATGTCTAAGTTTTTGTTCAAATTCGTCTAACCTTTGAGTGCCTCCTCTATGCTATGCTCTATGCTCTTACGCATTTTAAATCACTTAATCTTCACAATAGCCCTTTGATATTGTTATTATTCTGCTCACTATGCAGTTTGGGAAACTGAGATTTAGAAAAGTTAATTAATTTGTTCAAGGTCATCCAATAAGGCAGTGGTAGAGGTGAAATTAAAACTCTGGTCTTCTCAATGTTACAATCTGCCAATTTCTTCTAAACCTTTTGTTGAGCTGTGCTCATGAAATAAATATACAGTAGTGCTTTTAAATATAAAGGAGTTATTCTGCTCTTTTGTAAAATAATAAAGACCGCCCTAGGATGGATCGCCACATATATTTTCTATTTCTCTAAGTAGTATGTTCAAAGCTGAACATTTGTTTCTTCATCTTTGCCATTCTTTCCTTCTTTTCCCCTGAAGTTTCTCCTCTCTTGAACATTTAAGGACACCTCCTCAAATTGTTTCTTAATTTTAGATGATGTTCATAATTTTACAATATTTTTCTAGGAATATTTAGTTATGCCACTGGGGAGATGCTTATGGAGAATATGCCTTTTTTCTGACTGCTTAAGTAGATGAGTGCTTCTGTTATCTACCTCCGAGGTGTATAGAAAGCTGTAGTGCACCATCTTGTTAATGTTTTCTCTCACAAAACAAAGCCAGTGCTTCTTAAACTTTGTCTTCTAAGATTTTCTAAAAGCCTGTAGGCCGTGTACATATTTCCAGTTTGAGTCATCTAAAGTAGCTTATTTTAAGAGAAAATTTTTTGGGAGTCTGTTTTCTCTTTTAAGTTGTATGCATATTTTTCATTTTACTGCATAATACAGAGAGTTTTTTTGAAAGATAAAAGTAAAATGTTACTCAAATCTTCAAGGAAATGTGCCTAGCTAGATTTGTGTAAATCTTTATCTTGCGGTGTTTCATAGACACTTGGCTTGATTTTACAGAATATGGAAATATACTGTGAATTTGTTAAGTGATAATAGTGCAAACATATATACTATTATTTCATACAAGCAACTTTTTACTAGGCAAAGATTTTAATTTTGACTCAACTTGAAAGACTAGAACTAAAGTCATATTACACAATCCTTAGGTCACAAACCTTAAAGTCTTTCTCATAGCGATTTTCTAATGATATATTTGAATCTTATAATTAGCTTTCCCTTTCATAATTAGCTGTATTATACATCTGATTTTTGATTTCTTACTTTAACTCCTTTCTCCTATTTCCAAGAGGTTAGAATTCTTGCTTATCTGTGCTGCCATTTAGTTCTCAACATTTTTTTTTTTTCTGAGCTGATCCCTCTAGCTTTTTTCATTCTCCTGCATCCAGTGCCCCATTCATCTCTTCCATGCAGCTGAATTTAGTTAAATGTCTACCTTACTTACTTAAATGTATTGCATGAACTTTTCATGGTTATTCACTTTTAGATTTCGACTCAAAAGTGCCTGGATTATTTCTGCCTATCATTCTACTCTATAGGCAAGAGTGATGCTGAGCTGGAATAACAATAAACACAAGAAAATTCTTTTCTGGACTAAACATCTTTATTATTAAAGTGAGAATATAAGATGTTGCGGTTATCTCAAAAATGATTTCAGAAAAGGTGATAAATATTTCTGTCTTGGGACAGAATCTACTCATTTTAAGCACTGCTTAATAATCACCCCTAATGATTAACCTGATACCTTTATGTTGGCCTTTTATTTGAGAATTTTCTATATCTCCACCCATAATTTGTCTGAACTTTTAAGTGTTAAAGATCTCAAAAAGGTATTTTATTTCATATATTGAGGGCATTGTAGCAAAGCAGTTAAGAGCACAGATTAGAGACAAACTGAAGGTATTAAATCCCGGTTTCACACTTATCACCTAAGAGACCTTGAACAAATTAATCTTTCTATGCCCTAGTTTCAGAGGATAACAATAGTTCTTACCACACAAGAGTGTTGCATGGATTAAATTAGTAATGTCTCTTAAAGAATATAGAACAATGCCTGACATATTCCAAGTGCTACCTATGTATTAGTTAATATTGTTCTATAATATTATCTCCTTAATTAAATTGATAATTCCATAGTTGCAGTGCCTCTTAAAAGAGCCAGTTTTATACACTGGCCTGTTTTCCTCCAACTCTCATGTTTTTGTTTCTTTTTTTTTTTTTTTTTTTTTTTTTTTTGGAGACGGAGTCTCGCTCTGTCGCCCAGGCTGGAGTGCAGTGGCGGGATCTCGGCTCACTGCAAGCTCCGCCTCCCGGGTTCACGCCATTCTCCTGCCTCAGCCTCCCAAGTAGCTGGGACTACAGGCGCCCGCCACTACGCCCAGCTAATTTTTTTGTATTTTTAGTAGAGACGGGGTTTCACCGTTTTAGCCGGGATGGTCTCGATCTCTTGACCTCGTGATCCGCCCGCCTCGGCCTCCCAAAGTGCTGGGATTACAGGCGTGAGCCACCGCGCCCGGCCGTTTTTGTTTCTTTAGCTCATGCCTCATTCTGATATAAACTCCTGCCATCTACATTATAGTATTTCCCCTCTTTCTCCTACAACATGTGAAATCATGAAAACAAAGGATGAGCGTAATATTTGAATTATCCTACGCAAATTGCGAACCTATAATAGTCTGTGCATTTTTTATTAGCAGTTTCTTTTTTTTGGATTTTTTTTATTATACTTTAAGTTTTAGGGTACATATGCACAACGTGCAGGTTTGTTACATATGTATACATGTGCCATGTTGGTGTGCTGCACCCATTAACTCGTCATTTAACATTAGATATATCTCCTAATGCTATCCTTCCCCACTCCCCCTACCCCACAACAGGACCCAGTCTGTGATGTTCCCCTTCCTGTGTCCATGTGTTCTCATTGTTCAATTTCCACCTATGAGTGAGAACATGCGGTGTTTGGATTTTTGTCCTTGCAAAAATTTGCTGAGAATGATGGTTTAAAGCTTCATCTATGTCCCTACAAAGGACATGAACTCATCATTTTTCATGGCTGCATAGTATTCCATGGTGTATATGTGCCACATTTTCTTAATCCAGTCTATCATTGTTGGACATTTGGGTTGGTTCCAAGTCTTTGCTCTTGTGAATAGTGCCGCAATAAACATACATGTGCATGTGTCTTTATAGCAGCATGATTTATAATCCTTTGGGTATATACCCAGTAATGAGATGGCTGGGTCAAATGGTATTTCCAGTTCTAGATCCCTGAGGAATTGCCACACTGACTCCCACAATGGTTGAACTAGTTTACAGTCCCACCAACAGTGTAAAAGTGTTCCTGTTTCTCCACATCCTCTCCAGCACCTGTTTTTTCCTGACTTTTGAATGATTGCCATTCTAACTGGTGTGAGATGGTATCTCATTGTGGTTTTGATTTGCATTTCTCTGATGGCCAGTGATGATGAGCATTTTTTCATGTGTCTTTTGGCTGCATAAATGTCTTCTTTTGAGAAGTGTCTGTTCATATCCTTCGCCCACTTTTTGATGGGGTTGTTTGTTTTTTTCTTGTAAATTTGTTTGAGTTCTTTGTAGATTCTGGATATTAGCCCTTTATCAGATGAGTAGATTGCAAAAATTGTCTCCCATTTTGTAGGTTGCCTGTTCACTCTGATGGTAGTTTCTTTTGCTCTGCAGAAGCTCCTTAGTTGAATTAGATCCCATTTGTCAATTTTGGCTTTTGTTGCCATTGCTTTTGGTGTTTTAGACCTGAAGTCCTTGCCCATGCCTATGTCCTGAATGGTAATGCCTAGGTTTTCTTCTAGAGTTTTTATGGTTTTAGGTCTAACGTTTAAGTCTTTAATCCATCTTGAATTAATTTTTGTATAAGGTGTAAGGAAGGGGTCCAGTTTCAGCTTTCTACATATGGCTAGCCAGTTTTCCCAGCACCATTTATTAAATAGGGAATCCTTTCCTCGTTTCTCGTTTTTGTCAGGTTTGCCAAAGATCAGATAGTTGTAGATATGTGGCATTATTTCTGAGGGCTGCAGTTTCTTTTATCATCATTGTCATCATCATCACTGTATCATGATCATGATCATCCTCTCATCATGTATAGCATTTGTTGAGTGCTTAGGATCTGCCAGGAACTAGTCAAAGCACTTTACATTTATTGAATCATTTAATAAGTACAAAAATCGTATGAAGTAGGTAGTATTACTATCCTCAGTTATAGGTATGGATATGTAGAAGTATATTCTCTCCTCATGCTTTTTTCTTACCTCTGTATGGCCTCAGAGAACACTTATAGTTTGAACATCTCCTTATAGATAGTCCATGTTCCCTTCCTTATTTTGATCTCTTGGAAGAGGCCAGATGGTTATTGAGTGTATGATGCTATGTTTATCATTTATATCATCAAAGTTTTGAGTTCCTGACCATCTCTCAGGATATGAACAAAACTTGAGGATTAATTTAGGGGATATTAAAAGTGTCCAATTCTCAAACACATGGATCATCATGATTCTTTTTGTCAGGCACTGAATTAGAAGAAGAAACACATACAGCATACATTGTGGCATGAAAGAGAATGGGTTTCTGTGTGGGATATCACATAATGCCTCATTGGATGATCAAATAAAGGAGGGTTAGTAGTGATGAACTGAAAAAAAAAAAAAAGATTGTATGTAGTATTTCTCTGTGGTAGATGGGGCCAGCCTGGTAGGGTGGGAGGAGAAGGCTTGGCATTTCACGGAGACAGATGCTTGAATGGATTTTGCAGGTGGTTTTATGTTAGTTCATGGTGGGCTCATTGGCAGATCTTTCTTTGGCTCTTTTAGTTCAATCCTGGCTCAAGATGACATTGTGTGTCTCTGCTGGCAATATATATACAATGACCTTACTCACCTTCCCAATATTTTTCCAGTATACATTATAATATATTTTTATTTAATTTTATCTGATTTTAATGCAGCAATTTTTTTCTTTTAGTTTAAGTTTTTAGAGAACCACTTTATGGATAAAATTTCCTTGATGCT
The DNA here is from genome assembly GCF_000001405.40 of Homo sapiens. NCBI lineage: Eukaryota > Metazoa > Chordata > Mammalia > Primates > Hominidae > Homo > Homo sapiens. The sequence continues at coordinate 101,549,649 of NC_000006.12, forward strand.
GTATGAATCAGCCATCAAAATGCTAGGGTAAGAAGAGAAACTTAGGTATCTGCTCTTTTTTGACTTAAGTTAAAACATCATATGCAGTACCAAAGTAATAAAAACTAACACTTGTTTGAGTGGTCGTGGAATGTCAGTGTCTTGAGTGCTTTACATAGTTTGGTGCCTTTTAATTCTCACAACAATCCAGTGAAGTGAGAACTATAATTATCCCCATTTTGCCAATGAAGATAAGAAGATATGGAGTTGTCAAATAACTTTTCTGAAGCTACTCACAAAGTAGCCAAGTAGGATTTGCACCCAAGCCTCTGTCTCCAGGACCCATGCTCTTAACCATCACACCACCTCCTTTTGTACAGTTTTCTCTAGGCTGGATGCTTCATTGCACAAATCATTTTCTATTAGCTATCAAGCACAAACTGAGCCAAAAGCTCTATTGCTAAGATGCACAAAATTATAACTTGAAATTGTTTTTCTGCATTCTCCATTTTTTACTAGCAGGAGAATAGGAGACCTTAATTTTTATTTCAATTAGTAACATTGAAATACATTAAACAGAATCTGTGGTGGCAGCTGTGTATTCTCACTTTGACTTGAAAACTACATTCATTGATATCTTTTTAGTCTTTGGAAAGAAATTTATTGTCCATTATAGCTGCTACTGCTCTGAACCCTTTTGATAATTGTCCATGCAAGAGCCTGTTCTCTTTCCTTTGAGAAAATAACAATGGCATACTGTACTTCACAGGTGCAAAAATGAAATGATTTGCTCCATCATTTAGTTTGCTTAATTTACAGCTTTTTATGTTTAATTATGTCTATTGTTCATAGATTGGATATTGAGGATCCAACAAAGATGATATTTGAAACAGCTTTGTAATGTCATTGAGTAGGTCCTACACTGCAGGATACTTAAATCTTTTCTCCAATTGTGACAGTTTGGATATCCTCAGGGGTTCCGAGCTGTCTTCAATTATGCCAGCTGTCTTAACGTGGAATGTAAAACTACTATTACAGTGGGGAATTAAATATTATTTGGCCCAATTTTACCTTTCTAGTCAACAGTGAATAGCATGTGCCTGCATATACACTGAAAGCAGACTGTAGCGCGATGTGTTAATGTGCTGTGGATACAGTTTTCCTTTATAAGCATTTATGATTCCAAGAGAATACCCATCTGCCACTAATAAGTTGAGTAACCTTGAGTATGCTTCTTTATCTCTCTGATTTCTACTTCTTCACCTATAAAATGAAAGCATTACTAAATAATTTGGAAGCCATTTGGCATAGAATCATGTAAGTCTTATTATTTGGAGAATTTTATTGTTCTCTTCTCTGCTCCCTGCTCTGATGACCTAATGGAGCCTCAGCCTCACCTAAGGCTCACCTCATGACTACAGTTTCTGCAAAGATTGGCAGCTATAGCAAGATCACTGTGATCTCAAACTTCTCCCTACTCTGTTATCCTCAGAGATGCATGTTTCCTGAGAGCTTTTTTAGAAACCAGTCAGAATGAAATTTGCAAGAATATCAGATTTTTTCTTTTTGGAACTGGTGTGCAGCAAGATTTCAGCTGACTGTTTAAGGTATAGTTCTCATTTGGGAGAGCTTCGTATAGCACTTGCAAACAGAAATTTTAGGTGATATCCTGGTTCTAAAGGATGGGGGGTGGTGGTGGTGACTTAAGCCCATAAATCCTTCTAAGTTATATTTGAATGCCATTCTAGGTATGCATAATTTATTATACTATTCATTTTATCACTATCCACAGACATGGGAGAACTAGAAATTGAGGGTGGGATAAAATTTTAGAGGAGTAAGAAGACACTGCAGGACATTTATGGTCTAAAAGCCTAAATATTTTTCTAGTTAGTCATTGGACATGGCCATATCCGGGCCTGGATGAATCTCAATTATTTTCATTGATTTATTTAATAAACAAGAATTTGTTGTGGACTCAGCATGTGTCCCGCACTGTTCTGGACTCTTGGAACATAGAAGCGAACAAGGAAGACAAAGCCTCTGCCCCTATAAGACTTATACTACCAAAAAGAGTTCAGCACTGAGACGTGAGCTTACTTCCTCCCGAGCATTATCTTTATGCCTATATATGTTAATTCTCTCCTTCACTTTGCTCGTTTTCATTCTTGGAATTCTATCTTGTCACAAAAGCCAAACAGATAGTGCAAAGTTTTAGTATACTAGACAAAACATTATTATGTTATGGCTTCTTGCTTCCTGATATGGTGGCAATAATTATGATTGGGGAAGATTAGTGTAAAGCTTCTGCACCAAGCATAGTGCTGACCTAAGGCAGTAAGGTAATAAGTAAGTTAATAAATGAAAAATATTGGATGAACCTGAATTTGGTCTGTCTTCAGGCTTGGTTGTGGTGTAGAGTAATTGGGAATGGGTGGATGCATGTGTAGTTTTTTTCAGTATCATGACTAGAGGGTAATAGAAGAATATCTACTTGTACTTTAGAAAAGAGGAGACCTTGGAAGTGGGAGTAAATTCAAGATACAGCACAAATCAACTCAGAAATTCCTATCATTTGGCAGTTGAGAAAATTTGAGCTGAAAGTTTTCAAATGATTTGTCAGAATTATACAGAAATTCCCTGGGCAGTTTTTGGTGCTGGAGGGCTGAAGTGGTGGTATTTAGCTTCCTCAAATTTCTAGTTTTAAGAAGGCAGTCCTAAACTTTAACCCAAAGGATCTCTGTTCCTTGCTTTTTTCCAGCTGGTAGTATCTTATGGGACTCTTGTGGCATATTTTCCTGCTTTTGCTTTGGCTGGGTTTCTTTAGGGTAAATCCCAGGGAGCCCCTCCTAACCCTGCATTATTTCTAGAGGGAAAATAATAAAAGGGTTAGAGATGATAATCACTGGAAATTCTCAAAGGATAATCCTCCCCATTCAATATTTGGCCTTGCTCCTTCATGGCATTATATATGGGTGGGAAATATCAGTGTGTGCATTTAGCTTTGTTGGTCTTTGAGATGCTTCACTGCACATAATGTGGCACTAATCATGATGCTCTGCCCAGACAGATGTGTCTAACCTGCTATCTGTGCACCTGAGAATTGGCAAGGTGATGTACTCAGCATTCTATTATAAGCTTATTTCTCTAGGCACTTCAAAAGCCACTAATGAAAAAGTCTCTTCTGCCACCTGAGGCATCCTTTTACTGTTTCATTGGTTTTTAAAGATGATCAATAGGAAATACTCTAAAAAACACTCTATGTCTGAAGTTCAAACTACTAGATTTTCATAAGTTTAGGCAGCTCTGCACAATTGTAATGCTCTTTAACTTCCACTTGTAATCATATTGAAAATGTACATGACCATATTACTTATGCCTCAAAGTTACCCCAGTGAATATTTTATCCTCATTCATTTAACAGTCAAGGCCAGTTCTCTGTCAAACATTGGAAGGAAACATAAAATGTCTTTAAGAAGCTCACATTTTTAGAAAGGAGGCAGAAAAAGAAAACAATTGAGTACAATGTCATAAACACTACAATAGATTTATATACTGAATATTATAGGTTTAATATGGCACGGCAATTAATGTGCATAGTGATTGTCCTATTTCATTAGAAAGCTATTAAATATTTTCAGCATTCTCAATTAAAAGGTTAGGGTGTATCAATGTATTATAGAAAGAGTTACTTTAAAATGTGTTAATTAAAGGGATATGTTTGAGTTCCTGGAACTGTCATATTTCAAATATTTTCTTTTGTATACATTTCTGATTCGTGAAGAATTATTTTGTTTATACTCTGCTATAACCTAACTTAAGAATTTACATTTTCTGGTAGCTAGTATATGTTCAGTAGATATCTAATGAATGATTGAATAGTTCTTTATATGAAAAAAATACCACCATCAAAAGTTTAATTATAAAGTTATAGCATAAATGATCACAGGGAGTTTAAACCCAACTGTAATTTGGTTACTAGATAGAGGCATTGACTTAGGTGATCTATGCACAGAACTAATAAGGCCAAGGTCAAAGTTTCCTTCTTTGTATGAGCAAGTTAAATTTGTGTTATGAAAGGCAGTGGGGCAAAGATGTTTGAGGATTTAGCTAAAACAATCTGATTCTGCAAGCCATAGGTAAAATTTTAGAAAATTGGAAAGAGTCAGAATTTAAAAGTTAAAGTAATAAGAACAAAGGCTAAAACAGGAAAAAGCAGAATGTACCTTTATCCTTATCAGGAGACGCCTTGAATCACAGTACTCACTTTGTACTTGCCTGCCCATACCGCCTTCCAGAGGAACTATCTACTGACAGACGCAGTCACCTCAGTGGACGGGTGTTGTTTGGGCCACTTCCCTGTCCATAGTTGACTGCTAGATTTGGGTGGAATCTTGACCCAAGAACAGCTAACACATGCTTCTATATGTGACCTGGCACCAGAATTTGAGCTGTGTATATCTATGTAAACGTAGAGAGTGAAACCATAAGCAGTAGGAACAGAATTAGCAAAGTTATGGCTGAAATTACAAAGAAGGAGAAATCACAAGAAAAAGAGCCCGGTTCTGCAGGAAGAATAGAGACCCAATGTGAGACCAACCAGGCCCTGAGAGACACAAAGGGACAGAGCTGCCAAAGCTCCTGAAGTTCGTGTTAGTGTCTGTGTCCTTCAGATTGTGACCACCCCAACATGCATTCAGAGACACAAGATTTTTATTATTGTTAGAGGTGACTAAAGTGACTTTTTGTTCTTTGCAACACACCCAAAGAGCCAATTAAAATATTTACAAATGCTAATTTGTTGCTGTGAGGATACTAGGTGGAATTATTTTAAAAGATATGTGTGTTAGAGTGTCACTACCAGGATATATAAAGAAATAAAAAAATCACTCAAATCCCTTCTCCTAATTGCCCTCTGCCTTTATATCTACTCCTGGCTAGGTTAGGTGACCTCTGAGAACTGTCCATCAAACTCTGGATATATCACTATCATGGCAATCAATACAGCTTTGAAATTCTCTGTTAATGGGACTTTATGACACTATTCTCCACTAGATTGTAGGCTTTTAGGGGTAAGGTTGTGGATTATTTATTCTTCCTGTTTTAGTACCTATAGTACCACCAAAATACCTAGTTCTGAGTATGTTCTTGAAGCAGGCTTGCTGAAAAAAATTGTACCTGCGCATAAGAAGGATGCTTTGTTATTAAATAAACTGATTTAAATACTTTTTTTTTTCCCCCAAAATCAACCATAGGTATATGTGACCACTCAAAACTGAATAGATAATATGTGATGGAGCTGTGGTATAACTCAGTGATCTTACAGCTACATAGAAAAGATTTTAAAATAGTGAATTGCAAGTAAATTTAATTTCCACATAATTCCTGATTAACTTTTATATTGACAGTTGGGAAACATTAGAGAAAAACGTTAGTAAAGTTGAAGGAAATATGCTGTTCAGACTCCTTTTACCATTAACAAAGTAGTTTTTAGGTTTCCTTCTCCACCAGAGGTTGATATTTGGATTTTACTGCTTCTGTTATGGTAACCCCTTTTACTTTTATGCTAGTGCCTCAAAAGAAAAGTCCTGTTAGTCTTCAGAGTAAATGAGCTTTTCACACAGTAACTGGGCTATGCAGAGGTGTGCTGTGCCGGGAAGTATAGCTAGTGCCAAGCCACTTCTCTGTTGTAATTATAGGGTCGTTGGGAAGGTTAGTGGACCTTATCCCCTTATGGCAAGCAGCACACATGTGAAGCCTCTCTTGATTTTCAGAAAACATCTGGCTCAGTAGTTCTTGGCTCTTCCTTTCAATGTCAAGTTTGACATATTTGCATATGAAACATGTAGATATTTCAGACTAACTCCTATATCCAGAGGAATAGGGACTTCAATGATACTCAGGAAAAAGGCACATATAGAATTTAAAAATTTCATCTAAAATTTTATGTAATAGTCTTTCTATTGGGTACATTATTTCCCTCTAAAAAGAGAATTTATAAAGCATATTTACTTAATTCAGAATTATAATGTTTGTAGAAATTTTAAATATGAATTGTTTCATTAAATGTTACTTTTTCAATTACATTTTCATGAGTCAATCTATAAAGTGGAAAAACATTATGCATTTGATCTTTTTGATTGCATTACTCAATTTTTTTATCTGTTTCTATTGAGGTAAATGCAAATAAAAACATAGGTTATGAGTGGAGAATTTTGACAAAAATGTCTTATGATGGGGTAATAAATTCCTAACTAACCACAAGGACACTGTGTATTAATATAAGAAAGAAAACCAAAATAAATTACTTAGTAATGAAGGAGAAAGAAGACAATAAGACCAATGTTATGAATGGAACTTAGACACTGAAGTTTTCAGTAATTTATTACAATCTTTAATGTTAACATTTTGTCAGTAGGCTCTCTTGAATTACTACATTTTTATTTTTAGTGATTATATATATCACAGATGCGTCTCTAAATTGCAAATATCTTTATATCTCCATAAATGCTCATAAAGACATGACATTTTGAAAATTATCCGAAGGTATCTTTTTCTATAAAATTTTAAAATAATGAACATGTAATCTTATTGAGTTTTCGTAGGGTTATTAGCAGATTTCACTAATATTATACATATTTTTAAGTTGATTTGTCAAGAAATACAACAATTGCACTATGTAATATATTGGTAATTTTTTTTTTTTTTTTTTTTTTTTTTTTTTTGAGACCGAGTCTCGCTCTGTCGCCCAGGCTGGAGTGCAGTGGCGCGATCTCGGCTCACTGCAAGCTCCGCCTTCCAGGTTCACGCCATTCTCCTGCCTCAGCCTCCCGAGATATATTGGTAATTTTTAAAAAATTGTTTCACAAAATGAACAGCTGTTCATTTGTATTTTATTTTTTTAAATGTTCAATTATAGAAGAAACATGCCAAAGGAAAATTATTGAACTATAAGAAGTTATTATTGATAATAGCTGCCATTTATTAAGAGCTTACCCTATGCTACATTTCTTATTAATGTTTTACACACAGCAGATTGTTTTATCCTCATAACAAACCTGTGAGATTGCTGCTGTTATTCGCATTGCACAAAAGAGGTAACAGGTGTGGGATATGGTAAGCACCTGGCCAAGATCACTTAGCTTGTAAATAGTGAATTGAGTATTCAAACAGGTCGGTTTAATGCCAAACCTCAGGCTCTTAACCATTCTGCTGTATTTCAGAGACTTCTTAATGGTGATATTTTTAAAAAGATAAATAATTTGGTGAATTTGTGGTACTTTACAATGGATTAGAGTAAGTAAAAATATTTATGTCATTGAAGTTTGAATAAATATTTCTATACAGTACCTAAATTATTTTTACTTCACATCACTGTTTTTTAAAGCTGTTTAAAAAAAAACTCTCTTTTAGGTGTTTCATTCTCTATATATTTAACCCACATTTTTCTACAAAAGGTAGTTTTAAATGCTTAGAAAGTTGGCTTTGGAATGAATATAGTCTAATATTTGAAAATAATAAAAACTGATTATAATAAACATGTTCATAACATGCACTGTTAATTATTCTTTCCAGATTTCTACTGACTTTAAATTTTTTGGCTTTTATTGTTAGACCATTCAAGTACCACGAAAATAACAGGTGATAAATTTGACTCTCAATCAGCGTAAGATCCTGAAGTTTTGTTTATTGCAAAGATAAAGTGAAGATTTATATGGTTTTGTTGTTAAGGGCAATTTTTAAAAAATATCTCTGGGTTATTAAACTAGTTCATGGTTTATACAGCTCTCTATTAACTGAGATGTTTTGTTAACTAAACACCTATTATGCACAAAAGAGATGTGAGGCTTATTATTTTGCTACTTAACCACAGAACTTTCAAATACTTGTGTTACAGTTTAATAAAGTGGGGTTTTCTTTTATTTCTAGATAATACAATCATGTAGCCTTCTTTTCTTGTCCATCCCATTTTTAAATATTTGCTTTTCTAACTCCTACTCATGTTCAGCAACATACGCACCCCTTATTCACAGAAGCCGCTCTATAAGAATAGAAGTCTCTTAGTTTTTCCCATCTATGACAGAAAATTTCTACTGAGATACTTTCTTTCTTTTTACTAACTTCTCATCTGAGAAGGAATTGTTCCTGTTTTCCTTCAGCTACCTGTTCATTTAGCACCAATGCCTTCTTTATCTCTCCCTAACATTACACAATCATGCCTATTATTTCACTGCTTATGTATATTCTCTCAGCTTATAAATTTGATCAAGATTTCCCTGTTTTAAAATTCCTTCCCTTATTCATTGGCTGAACTGCAGGAAACTTTTGGTTTTCTTAAAGTTACTCTCTCATACCTCAACTGCCCTTCGGTAGCAAATTGTAGACACAGTGATCTTCAGTTTTTCTTCTCTAATTACCACCCACTTCTTCCTGAGTCCTTTATTATCTGGCTTCTACCCACAGCACTAAAGTGCAATTGTTTTTCTAAAGGTCATTTCTTCCTTCTAAATAGCCAAATCTAGCTTCTTAATCTCTGCTCTCATTCTACTCAACCATGCAGAAGGCTGTATCATTACTGTCCACTTGAGCTTTCCACATTCAATAAACATTCTTTAGGTGTTGACTAGGTGGTAGGCCTTCGGGTTTAGAAGATGGCTAAGGCCCGCATATGCCAACCTGGAGTTTCCATTTAAATGGAGGAGACATACACAAAACCAACTACCATACAGGGAGCTGAGTGCTCTAACACAACTGTGTGACAAGTAAGACAATGTGGGGCAAAGAGTGGAGAAACTTTCACAGAGGAAGTGGTATTTGAAAGAATTAGCGGAGAGTGAGAACTCTAGGTATATTAAGTTCCCTTGTACTATACAAGGGAACACAGAATTGGGAACAAGTACAGCGTGTTTTGGAAATAGTGTGGTTATAACACCTGGGAATGTGGTAGGGGTGGGTGTATGGTGGGAATTTGGAAATAGTTTAGGGTTGAATTGTCCAGATTTAAAACTTCTTTCCATTGGCTTTGTTCCTCCCCTTTGCTTCTTTTTTTTTTTTCTATGTTGACTGCTAGTTTTCAGACAATTTTCTTCAAAAACATTTCTTCTTTCATGTGAAGTCATTCTATGTTCTGTCCCAAGTGATATTGTCTACTTTGTGTCTTCAACCATTATATTTTGCACATTGCAGTTGTCTAAAATCTTCCTGTCCCTGATGACCTCTCTTTTGAGTGCCAAATGTGATTTTTTTTCTTTTTCTGTATGTCAATTCACCTCAAACCAGATATGGTAAAAATAAAACAGATCACCGTATATTTATGACTCTTTGCTATTTCTGTATTCTTTATCTCGTTCATTATCTCCACCTTCCTTTTGGTTACCAAGAGGAGGTATTATACTAATTTTTACTTCCTCTGTCTAGATGACCCCTAACATCCAGTCAGTCATTCTCTTAAAATACTTGCTGTGTCTTCTGATCCCTATTTTCATACTCATTTAGTTTATGCCATCACATTTTTGTCAGAATTAGTATTTAAGTATTTTAATGATTATTTCACTACCTGCAGCCTCTTCTCCAGTTTTTTTTTATACCAGAGTTAAAATATAGTTTAAGTAAATATAGCTAAGTGTATTTAATAAGTTATAGTCTAAGTTATTTTTTCAAAATCTTCCATATTATTCAGTTATCTACAGAATAAAATCCAACTTTGACACGGTCCAGGACTGAAGCTCTCTATAATCTTGTAACAACCTATGTTTCCAGTCCTAAAATTCCCCACATAAGTATTCCTACTCTATATGCCTTCAATTCATTGAATGATTAATTGCAACCTCTCATTTAAATTTTAATGCTCCTTAGGTTGACCATAGGTATTTAAGTTATTTGGAGATTACAATTATATGTGACAGATTTATTTAACTGTAAGTATCTAAAAGACAGGGACTTCACTATATTTACAATCAGCTACTCCCAAGAAGGTTGGGAACATAATGCTTTTCAAATATTTATTATTTAATACCTCCATCCTTAACTGCCTTATAATTTTAATAGCAATGAAAGAGAAATTCCTTCTTTGTAAATTACACATATTTGTGATTTCCTTGAGTCTCTTTCCCTTTTCCACCAAATAATCAATCTGATTTAGCTGTCACACACACCCCCACACATCCATATGCTTTGAATACAACTGCTGGTTTTACTTACTTCATAGTTCAGTGTGAAAGGCTCTGCAGTAGATAGATAAATACAAATACAAGTTGTGGGGTGATATGATGATAGAAGAAAGTCCACAGTTTTTGAGATCCTATAGCAGAGTCAGCTAAATCAGATTGATAATTTGGTAATGGGCAAAGGGTATATGGACAAAGCACAAATTCTAGAAGATTTTTCCAACTTGATGAAGCTTCATAGCAGAGGAATAGGTCAGCTGATTCGATGTGATATTAAACAAATGGTTAGGAATTAGTTTTTAGAGTAGAACTGTAGTCCTTAGAACCCAATACCCCTCTCCAGTATTGCCAACAATAAACAATTTGTGGAAGAGCATCACTCGCCTCCATCAGACGAGTGTCAAGAGACTGTGGTAGATTGTTCTAATATTCTAAGTTTATTTTCCTTTACTAGTCTGCAGTGGATTTTATCTTGAAAATATTTTTTATAATTTTATAACATATGATAAGAATTGGATTTTATAAATTAACCAATTAATGGGCAATTTTGTAGTTACTTTTATTTGTAGTAAAAATATATTTTAGGTTTTTAGGGTTAGTGATCTGTGAGTGGCTCTTAAGTATATTCAGTCTTAAAAAAGTTAAAGATCGTGTATTATTGTTTCCAATGCCAGTATAGCATTTTCACCATCTTGACAATATTTATTCCAGTCTTGCCATCTTACAACTTGGTTTGGTTATCATTTGGAAGCACATTGTAGATAATTAGAAACTGGACATTTAAAAAAAATTGATAATTAAACAACAATATATACTGTTAAAACTGCACACTGATTATTGGCAAATATTTCAGAAGACATAATTTAAGTAATTCAGCTGCTCTAAATTCTTTAAGGTAACTTGATGCCCTTTGTATCAGTAAATTTTTTTTCCTTTCAAAGCAAAGAAAAAAAACAAAATCATAAATGGAAAAAATACCTCATGAAATCTCACTATTTGTCAACTTCATTTTAAATCACATTATTGCTAACAGTTCCAAACTTGCCATTTCTATTCATTTCTCATCATCACTGTGCTAGCAAAAATCCTACCACAGTTAATGTTTTGAAGAATATAGACTTGGGAAAATAAATGTAAAAGGCTAATGTCTATGCTAGAGAGAATGAGAGATAAATTAGGCTTGGTTATACATGCCTTTATTGGTTATTCATTGAGGACCTCAGCTATGGGCCAGGCACTGGCCTAAGTAATGAGACAAAAGATAGCAAACATAGACCCCAGCAGCAGATTTTTTCATATGAAGTTTCAATATATTTAGTGTATTCTTTTGTTAAAGAATATAAAAAAAGTCTCTTAGGAAGCTATGTGTTTGATGTTTGAGATAACTTGTCCAAAGATGAAGGTCAAGGAAGTTCATTTAAGAAAGGTGACATTCAGCTGGTCTTAGAGCATGTATAGAGTTTGTAATGGGCTTAAAAGGATTCCAGTCCAAGAAAAATCATGAGGAAATTTACAGAATTGGGAGCTAAAAAAGTAGATCTCATGGAGGCAGAGAATGTAATAGTGGTTACCAAAGACTGGGAGGGGAAGAGAGAAGGGGGGGATGAAAAGAAGTTGGTTAAGGGATATAAAAATACAATTAGATAGAAGGAATAAGTTCCAGTATTTGATTGTATAGTAGGGAAGTTATAATTAACAATAATTTATTATAGATTTCAAAATAGCTAGAAAAGAAGAATTATGAGATGATGGATATCCCAATTACTATGATTTGGTCATTACACATTGTGTATGCATATCAAAATATTACATGCACTCCCAGAATGTGGGCAACTATTATATATCAATAAAAATACAGAAAAAAAAGAGGATACACTGGAGGAAAAATCTGCTGAACTTGAGGACTAGAAGGGAAATCATTAGGCATGCAAGAGGGAGTAATTGGACTTGGGTGTTTGGAATTTGGGAAGGGGTTATAGAAATATTTCACAATATAAGGAATTCAAGACAAAAATATTTTGGACAAAGATTAGAGTTTAATTTTTGGGTCATGTAGTTTCCAGCATGCCTGGGGCACCGAGTGAAGGTGTCCAGTGGGTAGATAGATATTAAAAATCAGAGAACATTAGATTTATCTGAGCTAGAAAAAATATGTGGGGGTCATCCTTATAAAAGGATGGTTTAAATTAGTTGTAGTATAGATAGTGGTCAAGAAACATTACCTTGAATTAGTGGTTATTATCCCCACTAACCTGACAGAACTGCAGAAAACAATGGCAAAGCTTTATGCCTGTCCTTATTTTAATTTTGGCTCAGTGCATGTCTGTGAAAAGGGGGGAAATCTATTGTATTCTCTCATGCCCCTTCCAAGTTAGCTCTCAGAAATAGTCAGAAAATAAAATAATTTAGATCTGCTATCATTCCCTAAAAAAAAAACTTTAGGGGAGCTTTTATCCTGATTTTTACTTGACTCATGGTGGCTTATTCTCCAGGATGACAGATGACAGTTCTGTCATAATGGACACGGCATCACACAGTTTGAGTTTTTGTTTGTTTGTTTTCTGAGACGGAGTCTCACTCTGTTGCCCAAGCTGGAATGCAGTGGCCTGATCTTAGCTCACTGCAACCTCTGCCTCCTGAATTCAAGTGATTCTCCTGCTTGAGCCTCCTGAGTAGCTGGGATTACAGGCATGCACCACCAGGCCTGGCTAATTTTTGTAGTTTTTTTTAGTAGATATGGGGTTTCTTCATGTTGGCCAGGCTGGTCTTGAATTTCTGATCTCAAGTGATCCGCCTGCCTCGGCCTCCCAAAGTGCTGGCATTACAGGTGTGAGCCACCGTGCCCGGCCAGTTTGAGATTTTAGCAGCTGTTTGGGTGCAAGTTTCTTCTCTGAGCCCATAATTCCCATTATATCTATCCTTGAATGTTCTTCTGATGATTAAATGATGTAATATATGTAAAACATCAAGTTGAGTGCCATATACTCAACAATGATATTTCCCATCTCTTTTTCAAGACAACACTTTTAGTAGCACTTTAATAATTTACTTTTCACATACTTGAATTAGAATATCTATCTGTGGTCTCTGTAATTTTCATTTTGGTTCTGTGTAATGATACTTTTTAAACAAAACTAGTAGATATGAGGAAAGGGGCAGTGAAGCTTTATAAGCTGCTATGCTTGCAATGGGGCTGTACCTTCTCTCACTAAGACATCAAATTCACTAAAAAATATGTTTGATAGGGCAGCTGCTCCTACCAGCTTTTTGAGAATTCCATCAGTTTTCATCCTTGATTATTTTGCCTGCTCCTGATGAAATAATATTCCTTTTTTCACCTGCTAATATGCGACACATGTTTTTAAGCACAATGAACTAGACAAGTGAAAACTGAGGCATGAAGGATAAGACAGTGAACCATCAGGCAGGGCTTCTTTCTTTAATTGTGCTTTTTGGTTCTATTAAGTATCTTATAATGATAAATTATTGAGAATTGTAAAAGATCAAAACACATGTTCTGAGAGCAGAAAATATATATTTTTTCACTGAAAACATAGTTTTAATCATAAATGAAAGGAAGCAAATATTTCCAAAAAACATCTTAATAATTCGATTCAGATTTGTTGAAACATTGTGTTGTCCTATATTGTACCATGTAGAGCATTCATTTTAATAATTTAACTTCAGCTGGATGCTTTCCAATGATGTACTTAGGTACTTACATAATTAGAAAAATCAGTGATTTTTGCAAATGCTTTTACCCCTTTATCCCACACAATTTTTCCATTTAAAAATATTTTTAAAGGCTGAATATCTGAATTTTAAGTGAGATTTGATAAATTATAAATGTCACAGGAAAAATATAAGGCATCATACTTTACATTTTTGTGTAAAACATTTTAAAATTGGAATTTGGAATAATAGGACTATCTAATATTTGTATGATGTTTTAAAGTGTAAAGTACCTTTTCATCTACATTATCTAAACACTCTTCCTGTAAACCCTATGAAGTTGACTTGGAGAGCCATTATCCTTGTCTTTCTGATTTTAGCACATTTTAGTCTTCCATTATTTTCTTTTATGGGAAAAACAAAAAAAAATAAGCTTTAATACTTTAAAAAATGCAACAAACAATACAAAAATTTAATAGAAGAGATGTAATATTCAATATTTCTATTTTACCATACTATTTATGAATATTACAGTAAACTACTTCAGTATTTGCTTAATATGTGCATCTTGGATCCACCCGCCAAGGCTGAATACAAAATACAACACACCTATTTTTTTACATTCAAATTATCATTAGGCTAATTGCTAGAAGTCATGTCTCCTCAAGTCACGTTTAAGCTGGTTTTAAGAGGTTTCTAGTGTTCTGCTTCATGTGTGTTAAAACAAGCATTTACATTTCTTTCTTATTTTGTTACAATACTGCGTCCACTAACAATGACCCCCAGAAGAACGCTATTCTCTTGTGCACAGCTGTGGCATGGGGATGGAATGAGTGAGGCTCTCTCTTTGAACACTTCTGTAAAAACTTGGGACACTTTCCTACTTCTTCACAGCAAAATTAAGATCAGGTCACAGACAGAAGTGAGACTGTATCAAAGCCTTTTTGAAAATATAAGAAAGAATAACTGAGTGTAACATCAACTGAAATGGCAAAGGTTCATCTCAAGAGCCAGATGCCCAACCTGAATTCAAGTTGCTCACTGTGCCTGTATGTCTAGCAAAGACACCAGGCAGGAGTCGGCTTTCTCCCTAATGTAAGTATTTCAAATGTCTACTTGCCTTGGAGAGTTGACCAAACTGTCATCTCATTTTCTACCAGACACTGGGAAGAAGTTAAGGTGCCTCCTTGCGCTATATAAACCCCACTGCACTTCTCCACCAGATTAACTTCTTCATCATATTATTCCTTTCAGGGGAATTTCCTACCTCACAGCTCCTTCAGCATATGATCTGGTACCATGGATCCAATGTGATCCTCTTGGTGCAAAGTAACATTTCCCAAACTCTTGATTTGTTCAGATTAAAGGAACATGTGTATGGGACAATAGCACTCCGATGTATGTTACACTCTGCCAATACAACACTGTTCATTCCATTCATTCTGTAGGGTGAGGGAATGGAGCCTCATGATTATACTCTCTCTCCCTCCTGCAATAGTCTCATCCATATTCCCCAAAATGTTACAAAAAAATATGTCTCAGGAATGAGGCTACTTAAATCTAGACTTTTAAGATTTAGGAGGAATATATTTAACATAATGTACAGGGGCTGGATTGTCCTGAAAGATGTGCCAATTACATTACCAAACAGAACACATTCCATTTCGGTCTGAAACATCTGCACTTGATTTACCTCATGGTATTCAGACCTTCCCCAAAAGAAGTATATATAGAGCTCTAAGAGAAAAATAGGCCCTTCTAAAGTGGTTCCTCGAACAACAAGGGATTAGTTGGTTACCAGTATAATTCTGCCAATCTTTATCCTAGAAGCAGAAAATATTGATGACTCTTAAAACACACTTTTCCCAACCTTTGTAAAGAAAGTGTTTGGTTCAGTCTTTACCAGTCAGCACAATATATTTATTTTTAAATTCTCTAATTTTTCTACTTTGAAGAGTTTCTAAATGAATATAATTCTAAAGATAAAGTGCATTTTTATATGTTCTTTGAATTATTCAGTTCACCTGAGTGTAAAATATGACAATGGTGATGTAAATGTATTCACTCCACTTCCTTTTTTAGTGTGCAAATTATTTAACAAAGAAGATTGCATTGAATGTATAAACAGTGAGGAAAGAAACTACTAAAAGAAATTTCATGTCAATAAATAAATATTTACTACTTTATTTTAGGGATTAGATTTAATCAAATTCTACCTGTGTCAGAAATCCATATGCAGTTGACCCTTGAACAATGCAGGGGATAGGGGTGCTGACCCCCACACAGTTGAAAATTCATGTATAACTTTTGACTCCTCTAAAATGTAACTACTATTTACCTATTGTTGACCAGAAGACTTAACAATAACATGAACAGTAGATTAACACATATTTTGTGTATTATATGTTACCAATATAATTCTGCCAATCTTTATCTTTATATACCTATTTTATATATATATATATATGTGTATATATATATATATATATATATAAGCAAACTAGAGAAAAGAAACTGTTATTAAAATTATAAGAAAGAGAAAATATATTTACTATTTAAGTAGATAGTGGATCATTGTAAAGGTTCTCATCCTTGTCATCTTCATACTGAGTAAGCTGAAAAGGAGGAGGAAGAGGAGGGGTTGGTCTTGCTGTCTCAGGGGTGACAGAGGTGAAAGAAAGTCTACATGTAAGAGGATCTGTGCAGGTGCAAACCCATGTTGTTCAAGAGCCAACTGTACAAGTGTTCTGTCTTCTTAAATGAAGCCAATTTTGGTAAGTGTGATCATAATACATATGAAAACATGTAGTGTATATTTTGAAATCTTAAGTTTGATCTGTTGGCAGAATGTGACTAGATTAAACTTCAAATGTATTGAAGAAAATACTTTCTGAGGGAATACTATGTGGAAAGATATCACTACAGCTACTTACTTGTGTTCACATAAAAACATCTAGCTGTATGCAGACTTTCTCCTTTAAAAAATTTTCTCCTTTAACAAATTTTTAAATTTCTAAATATTTAAAAAAGAGTCTTGCCTTAAAATTTTTAGTATAACAATTTTGAATTTCAAGAAATTAGAATCTGAATTGTTAATAAAAGTCAAACTAAGAAACAACAACTTTACTAATGTATCTTTCCATAGTATATTCATCCAGTCTAAAAATGAAAAAATTTCAAATATCATTAGTATAACCAAAAGGTCTTATGTTACTTTATCAGTTATTAGCCATTTCAAAATCAATCAGTGAATTAAGTAAAACAAGAAAATTTTTTTATTCTCTATATAAATTTTTATATAATAGACATATGTATGCCTATTATATATAATATAAATGTCTATTATATATGATAGACTTTATATAATAGGCATATACATATAATAGACATTTTATGATAGACATATATACATATATTCAGATATGTATACATATATACATGTCTATTAAATACATACATTTTCTATAATAGACAAATATAAATGTAATAGACATTTATATATGTATATATGACTATCATATAAAATATATATCTATTAAATAAAAATTTCTTTGGGAGACATTTTAAAAATTACAGAGCGAGGAAGCTAGAAAGCTCTGTAATTTTTAGTGTATCATCAATATAAAGGTCAGAAACTGTTTTACCTACAAACATATATTTCATTGTATTTTCTGAGTGCCCTGTCCACTGTAGTAGGCACCTTAAATATTTTTTGATGGCATTCATGATGGGAAATGTTATATTTATTTTGCGATTTTCTTATAGTTTGATTCTTGTTCATTCACATTCTTTCTATCTTATTTCAAGATTCCATGATCTCTCTTGTCATATTGTAGTACTTTCTAAATCATTTTATATCTCAAAAAGTCTTTTGTTTCCAATGCATCTTACAAGATAAATGCCATATTAACTTCACAAATGCAAATCTGTCATGTCACTGACTTCTTTAAAGACTCCAAGCATTCTTCATTTTTTTTCTAAATTTACATCAAATCTCAAAACTGATATTATCTTTTATTGCTTAGGTGTTACCTGTTTTTCCTCTATAGCACATATTTTCTTTATCAACTTCACATTCTGGGCAAATGGAATAACATCCTGTTTCATAAACTTACTCTCAAGAATCATTCTAAGTCCAGCTATAATGCTGCCAGCTTCAGAAATTCTTTAGAAACAGAGTTGGTGTTTGAGTTGCCTACCTGTTTGGAATCTAAACCTTAATCAATAAAGTTACACTTCTGTTTCTTAGAGAGGTAACCAGGGTTATTTTGTGGAAGAGCATGGTAGGTTCATCCCATATGTCAACTTATTGAATACTACCATCCTGAATCCATTATTAACTCATCTTCTGAATTTGCTTATACAAGTATCATTTTGTTCTTTACTGTCTAAAATAATTATTTACCATCATAAGATAATTTTTATAAAACAAATAGGAGAAAACTAATTTTACCTTTTAAAATAATATGCCACTTGTAGATGTAGAATACAAAGGCAAATATTTAGATGTAAAGCATAATTTAATATTCTTGTTTCTAACCAGTATGAACTTTATTGATCTTATTAACTTTGTAAAAATAATCTTGGGAGAATTGTATAGAATATATGTTGTTTATCTTAGTAAATGAAAAAAAGAAGTACTTTTGTGTTTAAGTAGCTTTTTTGTCAAATTAATAATACTAAACATAAGTGTTAATCTTTTCTTTTCAAAACTATTTCACATCATTTTTTCATTTGATTTTCTCAGCTCTCTGTACTGTACTATAAGGCATGTTTCTGCTCAACATTCTACATTGAGCATAAACAAGGACTAATGCCAAGGTAACCTAAATCCTTTGTGCTTCTTTGGGCACTTGACATGCTCACAACCATGGGTACCATTTCTATTAAATGCAATTATCTAATTGGAAAAGTTGCAAATAATCTGATGAGTGAGAAATGCAGATTCAATCAAGTCTCAGCTTACTACCACTGATTATAATATAAATCCTGGTTTGAGCCTAACCCTTTTACATGACTATCCCTTCTTCTGTTTATCTACTTTACTAAACAATGTCCTCTAGCATATAGACTGTACTTGTATCCTAAAGAAATCTTAGAATTGCATCTGGTTATAAGAGGATGAATAATAAATGTAATTTGAAGATGTAAATGATGCTACTAAGGATTTTAAACTCTTGGTAATCTTACTGTGCAATGCAAATGTCAACCATAAAATTTATTTTTATAGCCTTGTGACCATTTCTAACTATCTTAAAAGTTATTAAAATTTGCCTTCAACACATTTTTATTTAGGTGATTTTTTGGTTATTTAAAAATTATTTTAAAACTTTTTGGTTTTTTAAAAATTCTGATAACGAGTCTATCCAGTCACATATGAAAGTCTACAGAAAATAGTGCAGCATGCAACTACATTATTCTACAGCAATGGAAGCTGTCATATAACTATGTTCCTTTTCACATGAAAATAAACTTGCCTGGAGTCCTGTGTTTCAACAGACCATTACAGAGCTGGAGTAGGAGGCAATTACAAAGACAAGGACCCTCCATGAAAAAGTCTTGCTTTGAGAGCCATAATATTCACGTTTGTCCCTAGCTGTGAGTATAAACCAATGGAGGAGAGACTTCTGAAATTGCAAAGACACATACATTCTGTACAAAATCATAGCTTTGTTATTCTGAGTCCTTTGTAACAAATATAGGTTACATGAACTTTAGCCTCCCAGATAGTTTTAATTTTAATTCAAAAAAACCCTACTTTTTAGTATTGAAAAGTATAAACGATAAACATTTAATCACATAAATTATATAAGGGAAAAATAAAATTAAGCAAAAATGCTAACAGTCTCAAAAGGTATTTTTAAAATTATAATATTATAAATAAAGCTTTTAAAAGTAATTAAGTAGATGTTAAACTTTATGATCCAAACGGAACTACATTCCCAATAGAAGTTCTTTTATGGCTGATACCTTGAAATCTACACAGGAAGTAAATAATCTGCTTAGTAAATTTATAAATATAAATATTATAAAGCTGAGTGGCTTAACTTTATTGCTGAATTATTCCAAATATATTTAGTGTGTTTGTAAACACATGTATATCTAGTGATATACATGTACGAGGATCTAATTTTTATACATTTTTACTATACCTCATATATGTTACCCAAATAATAGTCCAGGGAATTCTTTATGTTTATGTTGATATTTCTATCCAAAGAATAACCAAATATTAATTTAAACAAAAACGCTAATTGCTTATGAAAAATAGATATTAATTAGAGTACATCTTTAGCCTCCTAAATCCTTTCGGAAGGAATGATTGTAATAAGGTGAGTAAATTCCTAGATAACTAAAGGTTAACCTCCTCTGCCTGGATATATTTATTTTAAATACTATTGCTGGAAATCTTTTTGAATTACTTTCTTTCTTGCCTTCTTAAATAAATAGTACATTGAGTTTAACACAAACATTTCTTATTGAATCAGAGTAATCTTTGAACTTTGTTTATTGTGAAGCACTAAAGCTTCAGCTACTTGTAGTAATATAGATAGAATGGAAAATGCAATCAAATGGCTATGATGCTTGAAACATGCAAAAACTGCTTAAGACTGTCTTCCTCAGTAGTTGATATTAGTGCAGTGGGTGAGAGAGCAGCCTTTGAAAACATATAGGCTCAAGTTTGAATCTCAGTCCTCCCACTTCCATGATCTCTATACAGTTTGGGAAAGATCATTTTACCGCTACAAAATTTACTTTTCTATCTGGTAAACTTGGGGTAATATTAATCTTGTAGGGTAAGTATAAGGAATGAATATGATAATCTATGTAAATCACTTGAGCCTTCTGGCATTTAATAAATGCTCAAGAAATGGTGATGATATTCTACAAGCAGCAGATAGTGAGAGCAGTGTGAAAACTAGAGAAGGACAAATCAGGATAAATAAAGATAGAGTTTCATTCTCCTTTGTCACTCCTCCTATCTTTCTTCCTTTCTTTTCTGCCCAGCCTCCCCCTTCTCCCCCTGCCAGCTCCCTCTCTGAAGGGACAATATGGTCTCCAGTGAGGGATGTCCCAAATGCAGGACACATCTTTGAGTACCTTATTGAAAAATTAAATGGCAGTTCACCTAAGAAGTTCTTCCATGTACCTAAACTTGGAGGATCATCGATAGAACCACTAATTTGAGTTACTCTTCCTTGCTGGACATGATTTGCCCTGACTTGAATGCCAACACTTTAGCAGATATTTGCACATGTCTGATCAAGGTCAAACCTTTCCCTGTGGTCTCAGAAGAGTGAACTTGGCTGACCTCCAGGGCCTTGGATGGGAGTCTTGACTTTATTGACAGTTGAGTAACTTTCTCAGGCCAATGGAGGGAAGACTTGTTTGGAAGGATGATTAATCCTTATTAACTTTTCCGTGAAAATGACATGAAAAGGTAAATTAAATGCCAAGTCTACTGTGGTCTGTTGTGAAGGGAGCTTTTGTTTAATCTTGTTTTCTTCTTCTAGCATTATTTAATTTAATTGAAAGGATAGTTCTTGTGATTTTTCTGTAGAGTTTGATTAAATATTCTAGGCTGCTATGTGCAGTATTTTGTGTATGTGAGATTTAGATATTTTGGAGTATCTTAGAAAACTGTCATCTTAGAATTAGGTTGCTATTTAAAAATAAACAGTTTGCAAAAATGAAAGCAATATCCTTTAACTTGCATGTTTAGTCACAGTGATCAGTATTGATATGTTTGTTAAAAACAGTTGGTTTACACGTGCCATGATGGTTTGCTGCACCCATCACCCCAACATCTACATTAGGTATATCTCCTACTGCTATCACAGAATATAAAGTACTATAATAATAATAAAAATAATAAAAACTGATTAGTAACATAAAAAAAGATTGGTCATTTTCTTAGTGCCATGTTTTCAATTCACATTTATTTTATCTTTTCACTGATGAGTTTGCATTAATTTTGCAAAAATTTTGCCATGTGTTTTTAATTCATATTTAGTTTATCTTTTCACTGATGAGTTTGCATTAATTTTGCAAAGGGAACAACTAAATTGATTCTGTGCAAGAAAGGTATTTTATTTCCCTTTACTTCTCCAAAATATCTAGTGATTCTGGCCTGGAAATGCTTTAACCCAAATTTTATAGCTTAATAAATTAAAAGAGCATATATGATGATGATGTTTTTAAAATTGAGTATAAATACTTTCTGCAGATAATTTGTAGAACTGTGCCTACTTGAAGATGGCCTATATTTCCTAAATTCAGGAAATCAGTAGGGAACTACCAAAATCAATTGTAAATGGTATTAAAAGGGAATAATTAATAATATAAAAGTTAAATTATCTCTGATAGAAAATAAACTGTCATGGACATCTATACATAACCATGCAGAACATATCTGTATATAACAAAATCTCATGCAATAATATGATAACTGTAAATATAAATGCTTACAAAACAGAAAAAAGGTGGAAGATTACACAAAGTATTTGAAAGTCTATCATCTTCAAACCAGTGTTCTTATTGTCTGCTGCCAGAGTATATACTGTTACAGGCCAATCTTTATTTTTGTGATTCTCAACACTGTTGATCTTGATTACTATTCTGTATCTTTTTTAATGATTTTTTGTTACTTTCTAGCTTTGTCATTTAAAAAAAGTTGCTTTTTTATTTTAATAAAAAATTCTTACACAGATATTAGCAGCCACAGAGGTACTTCTTTTTAGCAAACAAATTATCACAATATTTGGTAGCAAATTCTTTCTAATGCCTTTTTATGTTCTCCTTGGTGCTTAACGGGTACTTTTATTTTTCTTATTTTTAACTCTGAAACAGTATATTTCTACCACTTCCTCATACCACCGCTCTTTCTCCCATCATAATTATTTCTGAGTTTGCAATCATTGTGATAACACTAGTTTTTGTTGTTAATGTTTTACTGTAAGTGTGCGTAATACAATATGCTATAAGCATTTTAAATACTTGTGCTAAACTGAAGCCAAATTCAATTTATGATTAAAAAGAGGGGAACAAATAAAAGTAGAATAGGAAATGCTTTGCCATCACAAGGCCAAGGTTAGTTGTTTTGATTTCTTGCTTAAAGATAAAAATGTATTGTAGATGTGTGTTCCTTTTAGAGTGACTCAAGCATAAGGGGAAGTAGAGACTTTCTATGCTGTAGTTCAAAACGTACCCTGAGTTATTGTGTTTCTCAAGGCATCTGTACTATTTTCTACCATAGAAATTATTTTCTTGTACTTGGCCTCAGTTTCTTTTTTTTTTTTTTTTTTTAGAATCACTTTAAGGTGTTTTGTTGTTGTTGTTATTGTTGTTTATTATTTATTTATTTATTTATTTATTTATTTATTTATTTATTTTCTGAGACAGAGTCTGTCTCCGTCATCCAGGCCCAGGCTGCACTGCAGTGACACGACCTTGGCTCCCTGCAACCTCTGCCTCCCAGGTTCAAGAGGTTCTTGCCTCAGCCTCCTGAGTAGCTGGGATTACAGGTGCCTGCCACCATTCCCGGCTTATTTTTGTATTTTTACTAGAGATGGGTTTCACTGTGTTGGCCAGGCCGGTCTCAAACTCCTGACCTCAAGTGATCCACCTTCCTCGGCCTCCCAAAGTGCTGGAATTACAGGGGTGAGCCACCACACCCAGACACTTTAAGTTTGATAATTCACGTGTGGTGATGGTTGTGATGTCTGGTGGTGCTTAGTGAAGGTGTTGCCTACTACAAGTTTTTGGCATAAAGGAAGACCTCAAACTTTGCTCGAATCATCTTTTATTGTCTATGTTTGTCTTTTGTAGTTTACTCAGACATGCTTGGGGTTGGTTAGACTACTGGTCATAGATTGCTCAGGAGCAGATTTCACCTTGAGCAACCAGGAGGCAGCATGTTGATGGGGACAAAAGCAGTCTGAAGAAACAAAGCTAATTGTTGAAAGAAGCCACAGGCCTTGAGATACACATTCCTCTTTAATTATTTTGCAGAGAATCAGCTCTAATACTCACGTTGTTTCATAATCCAGTTCTTTTCCTTCTGGAGGATTTCTATCATTTTCACTCATCTGTAAACAAATTCCAAAATTAGTTTTATTCATTTCTAAATCTCTGGGGCTCAGCAAAGTGTTGGATACATTGTGACAAAATATTTGTGATAGATCTATTTCTGCTGAATCTGACTCCTTCATTTTATATACTTATTTTTTTCCAGGGTGTTCATTTTTACAGACCACTTGAATTCTTTCATTGGACACCACAGGGGCTCATGTAACCTGTAAATACAAATAAGCCTTCAGTATTTAACCAATATAAATTGAGAATTCCCTAATTCTCTACAACAAAAGTGACAACAAAAGTGGGGGTGTTTTTCTTCTTTTATGGTAGAATTTAAAAGCTTGTTCTAGAGAAATTTTCCTTTAATTTATAAAAATCTTTTGTCAGTAATATTAAACTCTAACTAGACTTGATGTTTTTTCTCCCTAAGAAATCATGTAACTTGCACGCAGTTACCATCATGTCACTCTTTTTACTTCTCTTTAATGCACTCAAAATTTTAATTTATACTGAGAATAGAATTTTAGGTCTTGATTGTATTTTCTATTGAGATTATATATAAAAATATTTCATGATACATAAAATGGAAGGAAATGTTTTGAAGGATAAATTATAGGTGTTTATATATACTGTTTATTAAAAATACAAGGATAATACAAAGCAACTGAAAATTTTAAAACAGCAAATGTGAGCTTGAATTTTAGTTGAGGTAACTGTTGTATAAATAAGCTGTTAAAGTGTATATATATACACTGTATATATTTATATATTTAATATATTATGAATATATGATAAATAAAAATATATAATTATATATACTTATATATAAATATATAAAGTGTATATATACACTTTAGCAGCTTATTTATACAACAGTTATGTATGTATATATATTTCTAAAGAGCACTAATGTAAGATTTTAACCCTTTTTTTTAAGAAGGAAAAACAAACATGTAAATGAAGAGTTCTATACCCAATTTTTAGACAATAAAATATACCATGGCAAAAAAATTGACGAATTGTAATGCCCAGTTTGCACTTTAAGTTATTAATAATTCTCATCTCTGTGTTTTCGGACTACCTACTACCAGCATGTACAGGGCTTGCTTTTGTAAAGACAAATACAAAGCAGAATGCTACTCTAAGTATTATAAAACCTGTTTACTCGGATATTTTAATAGAAAAGAATGTGAATCTAGAATGGCAAATTTAAGGCTAAATTTAAGATTTAAGTCTAAGGTGTAAAATAACAGATATTATGTGGTAACCTATTTTTAATAAATTCAACTATTAAGTTAGCTATCATTAGGCTTTCAGATATATAATTTAGAATAATATATTTAATACAAAATTTTTATGTTTATTGAAAATGCTGTTCTTATATGCTGGGGAAATTCTATTGAAATAAATACCTCTAACAATATTATCAAGAGTTACTTCTTTCAAATGCAAATATGTTGCACCTACTAAAAGTGTTTGGCATAATATTGTCATATGATTTAATATTTATTTAATATTGTCATATGATTTATTCATATTTTAGAATAATTTTATTGCCTCTTACCTGTAATATATGCCACTTTATTTTCATTATTTTCAAAGATAAGGGATAGGTACAACGAAATTCTCCCCAACTCTCAAAAAATTAAGTTCCTCTATGATAGATGGTAACATTGTACTAAGATAGTAGTAAGTAATATTACATTAATTCAGTGCATACAATTTATAGATATAATACTATTCAAATAAATTACAAATGTAATAGTTTTCTAATTTTTTTGTAGCAGACCAAGTTTTTAATTAACATGGGCAGAAAAATTAGACATTACTTTCTGAAAAAAAGGTTTATTTAAATAAAATCTAATAAGTATATGTAGGAAATAGCATAAAGTCTGTAACATTTATATTGTCTCCATTCAGCAGTTTTTGAGACATTTCTGTGGAGTAACCATTCTACATTAGTAAATATAACTGTTTTGTTGTTAATCTGAAACTAAACATATCTGAATATGGCTTTCTTGCATATTGGGTGGTTTTGTTGAATCATGATTTCACCTAGAAAATATAGATAGTGTTCTGTTGCTTAATTCTATTAGTTGAATATATTTCTGGGACTCTCTCAAAGACATGGTAATTTTGTTTTTATTTTTATGAAAACCATTAAGCCTTAGCTTTATAATCTTTACACCGTAAACCATAAGATTAATTTCTGAGCTTTGCGGCTGGTCTAACTTTGCATTAATTGTCTTAAATTAACATCTGCAGCCTGGTCTGCATGTTCTGTCATCATTATTTCTGTTTCCATTCATGCCCACACCTGGCATTTAAAGGTTCCTTTTTTGTGTAACCTATGTAAGAATTGATTTTTCCACCTCATCACCCCATGTTCTTTCAATTTAGAGATTTTTCTGGAAAGCCTAGTTAGTAAATAATTGTCAGACAGCTAAACAACCAAGATGTTTGAGTCTAGAATTTGTGTATTTAATAGGGCATATGATATAATAAACATGTTTGAAATTATATTATCATATTATGATATATGATATTATGATAGGATATTATATCACATTAAACATGTATATTGGGGTGTTTCTTTTAGTATATCAAATTTCCACACATTTTCTACAGGATGCTCAGCTACCACTGATAAGGAAGGAAAAACATGTCTCTAAGCACTTTCAATATCAGCAGGTATTGGCAGTGGGTACAAGGAAGTCACTATTTCCAAGGGACATTTCAAACCAGGACTCTTGCTCTAAATTTTTGAGCCTGAAAGAATTTTGGAAATCTGCATGAAAGTCTCAGTCAATGCTATTATCATGGTGGCATTTATGATGTTTATGAGGTGATAATTGTTAAGACATCAAAACCTAATATTCCTCTGGGATGAATACAAGTTATAAAATTAATAAAATCAATATTCTTTTTTTTCCTTTTGCCCAGAGGAAATTACTATTTATATTATGTAAGTATGATCCACCCTGGCATTTGTATGCAGGAAACTGATGTGTTTACCAAGATTTTTAAGAAAATATCTAAGGTGATACACATGGCAAATATCTGTCACATTATGCATAGAAATGAATTTTTATATTGGTTTTCAAATGCTAAGTTAAGCTCTTTTGTTATTTTTCTACCAGAATCAAACATATTTAGGTATCTATTTAAGAAAAATGGCATATATGTATTACTTTTCTGTGTAAATGAGGAGAATTGCTGACAAACATAAGGCACCTGAACATAAAAAATTTTTGCTGCCTGCTTGCTGATTTTCTAAATGTACACTTTTATCTAAGTGTTTTGTTGTGGCAAGTACTAGAGAGACACAAACAAGATCCATTTCAGGAAAAAAAAAATGTCCTTGTAGTACATAGCGGAGGCCACATTGAATAAACATATAATGAACACATCATGTTTTTATATCTCGTAATCTAATCAGATTGTCTTTAGAAGCAAATGATAAGGATTTCAACCTTGCTTAAGAAAGGTCTTTATAGTGGTGCTTAGGGAATAAATGTTTGATTTCTTAAAGATGTCATTAGATATCAAGTAATAGACTAATGATTAGATTTTGTTTGCTTTCTTTGATATCTGGGTTACAGTTAGTTGCATATGGATACAAAAAAAAAACAACAACATCAGGCTAAATGTAACTTTGCATCTGACATAGGGAGTTCTTAAAGAAAACTAATTACTTGACCCTTTTTGCACTATAAGGAATTTTAATTAAAGTGACTTTTTTTATTTGTTAGGTCAGCAATATGTCATAAAAAGCTATATGAATGGTAGTAAATAACATAATAACAGCATTCATTGAATGCTTTTAAATGACACAATATTTTTATGAGAACATTCTCTAAATCATGAAAATTAATTAAAAAAATATTTAGAGTAATTTTTGTATTCTCAGAAACCATATTTTTTCTTCTAAATAAGAAAATAATCTGTCAACCTCAAATTAGAACACCTATAATTCTATGAGCCTTCAATCCAAATATTAAAGTTTTAATATAAAGTCAAGTATTTTACAAAAATAGTCAATAAAACAAGAGTGTTGGCTATTTAGAGTACACATAGTGGATCTGTTTATCTTAAACAGTGTTATGAATCAACATAGGTCAACAGAATGAACCAGAAGAATGCATGACTTTAAAAGTTTATTTTCCTTGAGAAGATGATAAAGTACTTACTAAAATATTACCCAGGTCTCTCCTTACATTGCGTGAATCTTAGGAAAATATAAGTTAACACAATGTATATTCATTTCCTTTATTCAAGCAGCCTTGAGAGAGAAGGGACCAAAGGAAAGATGCCATTAATCTAATGAATGAAGAGCTCCTGTGTTCCTGGGGAATGGGGAATGGATGGGAACAACGTAGAAGGTGAGGTGGGAATGCCTACGAAAGGTTGAAGTCTAGATCACAAACTTGGCTCCCAGCATGCACTGGCAGCTCATCCATGCAGTGTGATGGATGACACTCCAAACCCAATTCTTCACCTCACGTTCTCCCTTAGAAAGGAATGAGACTTGCGTCTTGATCCAGGAAAGAACATCTGTACCCTAGAAGCCATTGGCTATATTTATTTTCAACAGTGCATTTCATTACAGCCAGGGATGCACAGGTTTATTTATTCATAACACTAAATGCTCTCCATTCCCTCTTTTCCTGGCTAATATAAAAGTGTGCCCAATTTAGAAGAAATGAACAAGAGAGTACTGAAATATGCCCTCTGTGTATTACTGAAGGGATCCCAGGAACACTTCAGCAGTACCAGGTTAAATCTGAACTCTGCCTATGTATTTTCTATAATGTTGAAAATTGGAAGAACAAAATAGTCTTGGCATTGAACTGACATTTCATTTTGTTTGAGTCTCAGTTCCACTTTATAAAAGAGCACCACAAGCCGGAAAGCAACCAGCTTAGATTGGTATGTGTGCTGGTGCCAAGAGAGCTAATCAGAGTCTAGCATATGGGGCATTTGAACAAGGAAATGGATGTTAACTATCTGGTTGTGCATTTGGACTGCTTCAGAATCATTTGGGTTTTGCTTGGTAATCTGAGAGGTAGCCAGGAGGGGATAGAACAGCTGTGGCCACTCTACCTGTAAGTGCCTTAATTACACCCTTTGGCCTTCCCACCTTCCCCACCTGAATATTCCTCTTTGGCTTCATGGGGTGCTTTTCTAAACTGCCTAAGAACTATTTGATGAAGGCTCATTTCTAGATTCAGGAATAAAATTGTTGTTGATGTCCTACATTCAAATTCAGTGAACATTTATTGAATATCTACTATACATCCAGCAACATATAAATTCCATCCATTGAGATGCAAAATAAAACAGTTTTCAAAAGCAATTCTGAAGCCTGATCATACTGGTTTGAATCACAACTCCTACCATTTTCTGAGGTGTGACTGCAGGCATTTAACTTCTTTAGATGTGTTTCATTTTCCTAATCTGTAAAATGTAACAGAAGTTAGCAAAATATTGTTAAATAAATAAAGTAAATGTAGGTTATATGTGTGTACTTAGACCAACACTAGGCACATTAAAAGCACATAGTAAATGCCTGATGTCACACACACACACACACTCCCTTGATCAGTATAATATCTCTTGTTATACATATAGTGTTATTCTCCTTTTGCTGATAAGAGAACTGAGAGTCAAAGAAATGAAGTATATATTCCCATGGTCATGAACTTAGAAAGCAGCAGTTAAGATTCAAAATGAAGGTTGTATATTTCATGATTCATTTTCTTTTCATAATACCATAATAACTTTAAGGTATTTCCATCTCTAGTCAGGAAGATTGCTTCCAAAATGCTCTGCAGACAGTTTCATCATGCTCTCTTTTCTTTTCTCTTTGTCTCTTTATCTTTCTTTATCTTTTATTTCTTTTTTTTCTTTCTTTCTTTCGCTTTCTCTCTTTTTTCTTTTTCTTTCTCTTTCTTTCTTTTTCTTTTTCTTCTCTGCAATGGCTGTCCTCACTTAGTCTATCTTTCTAACAGTTTAAAAGATACATTTGGGCCGGGCATGGTGGATCATGCCTGTAATCCCAGCACTTTGGGAGGCCAAGGCGGGTGGATCACAAGGTCAAGAGATCAAGGCCATCCTTGCCAACATGGCGAAACCCCATCTCTACTAAAAATACAAAAATTAGTTGGGTGTGGTGGTGTGCACCTGTTGTCCCAGCTACTCAGGAGGCTGAGGCAGGAGAATCACTTGAACCCAGGAGGCGGAGGTTGCAGTGAGCCGAGATCATGCCACTGAACTCCAACCTGGCAACAGAGCGAGACTGTGTCTTAAAAAAAAAAAAAAAAAAAGAAATGCATTTGATACCCTTTCTTCTGGAAACATTGTCTTCTCTGGGCTTCTACAGTCCCATTCTTTTTTAAATTCCTTTCCAACTTTATGACTACTTCTTCTCATCCTCCTTTGGGAGTCTTCCTTAATTTATCACTACATTTTGGAAAGCCCCAAGGCTTGAAGTCCTTGGACTTCTTCACATCTTATTCTACAACTTTTTTTCTCAAATGATTGTATCTAATTCTCGTAACTTTAAATACTGCCACAATCTGATGACTTCCTAATTAGTATCTCATCTCTGGCTAATGCCCTATAATATAGATTCTTACAGCCAACTTTCTCTATGACATCTCAAACTGAACTCTTTATTTTATTCCCAGCCAACCTGGAGATTTTGTTTGGCTGGTTGGTTCTTTTGTTGGTTGGTTTTTTTGGAATCTTCCCTGATTTAACAAATGGCTACCCAACCTCCCAACTGTACAGGCCAGAAACATTTGAAGTCATTTTTAAATTGTCTCTTTCCCCTATACCCCATGTGTGATCTGTTAGTCAAATCTGTCAGCTCTACCTTACAGTTATGTCCAGAATCTGACCATTTTTCACCACCTCTTCCACTACCTTCCTACTCTAAGCCACTATTATTTCACATCTCCATTATTACAGGAGCCTCCCATTAGTTCACCTGCATCTATCCATTGTTTCTTTTGAACACAATATTCAAAGTGATTCTTTTAAAGTGTGAATGGCACTATAGCATTCTTCTGGAAAAAGTCAAAATCCCAACAAGCACCTCTAAGGCCCTAACTAACCCCCACTTCCCACCCGAACCTCTCTGCCCTAAGTTCCTACCATCTTTCTCTTCCTTTCTCAGCCTCTGTGACCTCCTTGCCCTTTCTTGGAAATGCCAGGCATGCTCCTGCCTCTGGGAGTTTACACTTTGCTGTTCCTTTTACCAGGAATGCACTTCCTTCAGTTATCTGCATAGTTCCCTCTCAATTCCCCTCATCTATGCCTATTCTCCAATGCTACCTTCTCAGTGATGATTTGCATGATCATTCTATTAAAATTACTGCCCAACTCCTAGCACTCCTAATTTTTCTTCTGTGCTTTATTTTTCTCCATAACAATAATTACCCTCTCTCATCCTCTATATTTTACTTATTTTTCCCCTGATAGAATGTAAGTTTCAAGAGAGTAGGGATTTTTGCCTTTTTTCAGTCACTACTGTATCTCTAGACTCTACAATAGTGCCCAGCACACATTAGGCATGTGTTACGTTTCTCCAGAGGGACAGAATTAATAGGAGATATATATACATATATATATATATACACACACACACATATATATACGCATATATATACATTCACACACACTCACACACATATATGTGTATATATACACATATATCTACACGTGTATACATGTATACACACGTGTGTGTGTGTGTGTATATACATATGTATATGTATATATAATTAAGGAGTATTGACTCACAGGATCACAAGTTGAGGTCCCACAATAGGCCGTTTGCAAGCTGAGGAGCAAGGAATCCAGTCCAAGTCCCAAAGCTGAAGAACTTGGTGTCCAGTGTTTGAGGACAGGAAACATCCAGCATGGGAGAAAGATGTAGTCTGGGAGACTAAGTCAGTCTAGTCTTTTTATTGCATCCTTCAATCCAATTAATATTACCCACCACAGGGCACTCAATGAATGTTTGTTGAATGGTTGAATTAATATATTCTGTGAGAATTTACTGAGCATTAACTATACAACACTAGTGTAAGTGCTGCTTAAGATAGAGATGAAATAAGAATACTCCATGCCTTCCAGAAAATTAAAATCTGGTTTAGGAGATGAAACACACAAATATCTGTCTGTAGTATAAGATAGAATATTAATGGCATAAACTCTTAGAAGTAAAATACTAAATAAAATGTTAGAAGTAAAATACTAAGGGGAAATAAGATTGGTGTCTTTGAGAAACTGACACCTAAAAATGGGCCCTGAATGTGTGGTTGGATTTCAGACAAAAAAGATGGTGACATGGCTTGGTTCTGCCTCACAACCCAAATCTCACCTTGAATTATAATAATCCCCACATGTCAAGGGTAGGACCAGGTGGAGATAATTGAATCATGGGGATGCTTTTCCCCCATACTGTCCTTGTGATAGTGAGTTCTCATGAGATCTGATGGGTTTTTTTTTCATTGTTTTTATTTTTATTTTTTATTATACTTTCAGTTCTGGGATACATGTGCAGAACGTACAGGTTTGTTACATAGGTATACATGTGCCATGGTGGTTTGCTGCACCCATCAATCCATCATCTACATCAGGTATTTCTCCTAATGCTATCCCTCTCCTAGCCCCCTACTCCCCAACAGGCCAACAGGCCCCGGTATGTTCCCCTCCTTGTGTCCACGTGTTCTCATTGTTCAGCTCCCACTTAGGAGTGAGAACATGTGGTGTTTGGTTTTCTGTTTTTGTGCTAGTTTGCTGAGAATGATGGTTTCCCAACCCAAATGCCCATCAATGATAGACTGGATAAAGAGATTTGATGATTTTATAAGGGATTTCCCCCTTCGCTTGGCTCTCATTCTCTCTCCTGCTGCCCTGTGAAGAGGTGCCTTCTGCCATGATTGTAAGTTTCCTGAGGTCTCCTCAGCCTTGCAGAACTGTGAGTCAGTTAGATGTCTTTTCTTTATAAATTATGCAGCCTCAGGCATTTCTTCAAAGCAGCATGAGAATGGACTAATACAGATGGGAATTGAAAGATTTATAAGACAAAAAGTACAACATAAGGAAATCTACATGGAAATGAAAACACGTTGGTAATGTACAGAGGATAGTCTACATTTCAATTTGTGAAGAGCATGAAATACACACATAAAGGGAGTAAGGATTTCAGTTATGTATAATGGAACTGTATAGTTCACATACAATTCCTGACAAATGGAAGCTTCTGTGTACCTATTCCTTGAGCAGAGGAAACCATGTGGTTTTCATGTTATTTGCCCACTTTTCTAACCTCTTTCTTGTCCATAGCCACTACAATCTGCAGTGGGCAGAGTCCTGTGAATAGCCTGTTGTGGAAAGCCCTGTTCTCTCAAACAGTACAGATTACTCAGATGAATGAGGTTTTGTCTCCTGGAAAATTGAACAATGAAATAAGGAGACAATCAGGCAAGGCCAAGGGAGGCATAACAGAGAAAGGCCAGGAGGCAGAGAAAGGCCATGAGGGAGCAGTGGAAGCAGAAGTTACAGCTATTTTCAAGTATAGAGAAGCTGTGATTAAGCAAATGTTTAGTGGATGTTTGAGAAAAGACTGATTGAGGTGAGAAGATAATACAGCCAATAAAGGGGAGTCGGCTGGTGGAGGGATAATTAGTCAAAAAAGACACTGAGAGAAGCTGACACTTAATGGATACCTAAGCCACGTTAATGAAGGTGTCATAAAGTCAGGAAGATGCACCAACTCCAGCTCTTAGGGCTTTTGGAGCAAAAAGTTGAGAAAGAGCTGTGTGGATCCTGAACAATGTAAAACTTCTCTTCTTTGATTCCTATGAGAATGTTTTTCTGCCTTATTGCCATGTGTAGCTACATTATAAATCCCCATTATTTAAGACTGCCTGAGTGAACTGCTGATGCTTGCAATTCAAAGAGCCTTGTACAATTTGCCCTCTAGTCCTTAGCTTCCTCAACTATGATGCATCAGATAGTGGACTTGCTACATGTTTTCTAAGGCCCTATATAGTGATGAAAAAAACCTATGATTTTTTTGTTGGATGATTACTTGCATATTTTCCACATAGAAAAGTATTATTGCAAAGTAGCCCATTGTTATATTTTGACAGCTGGGGACAGAAAAAAACTTGTTTAGTGATAACTAATGCAACTGGCTTTTTTTGTCCTTTCATTTCATTTGGTGCTTTTGTTTGATGTTGTATGTCTTGTCCATGAAAGATGCTACCATCCTGGAAAGATGGGAATTTAATTGCTCTCATCAAACATATTGCCTAATAAATTGCTTACTCTGGCAGAGAAAATTAAAAGCAGCTTTGATGTGAACAAAAGCTTTTTTAATATGGCAGATTTTATATGATATATATGTATATAACTAGATTTCTTTATATCATATACCATCTGTCATTGAGTATTGGCATGATGGCTGCAGTTGATGTCATGTGCATAAATACAAAGGTAAATGGATCTTGTTTTGTGTGTATGTACTATTTTAATATTTTTCTGTTAAAGAAAAAATATGATTATAACATTTTGAAATGAATTTGTATTTATAAGATAGAGAAATCTTGTAATTCCACTTCATTTGTAATACTCAGTTTTACTTTCCTAGATTTAGTGATGCAAAGCAGGTCACTTAAGAGCAATATTAAAATAAGGCAAACTTTCTCCTCTCAGTTGTGCCCATCTACTCAAACACAATTCAAATTATTTTATGCATTAGTAGAATTTGTTTCTTTCACTCTAGAGGAAGATTTTTCTTCAAGAAAATCAATTCTCAGGTTTTCAAATAAAAATGGTCTAGTT
This sequence comes from Homo sapiens, assembly GCF_000001405.40. Lineage (NCBI taxonomy): Eukaryota > Metazoa > Chordata > Mammalia > Primates > Hominidae > Homo > Homo sapiens. The sequence continues at coordinate 101,584,403 of NC_000006.12, forward strand.
TAATGCAATTTCACAGAACTTATTTTTTTTCTCATAATAAGACTAAAAAAGTCTGCTTTGTACATCAGGAAATATTTCCTTAGCATTAGGAGACAGTAGCAAAACTAACATTTTTAATGCTGTAAGAAATATGAATATAGGACTATTTGAGGAACAAAATCTAGAAGAACAAAGTCAAAAGAATGAATCATTTCTTCTGTGAAGTAAATAAGCATCAAAGTTGTTACTAGCTCCTTCTGTACTGTACAATTGTTTCAATTTGTACATCTTTAGAGAATATAACAGATCTTCTAAATCAGCATAACTACCCAAAGTTATAATATACCTAGAAAACTCAAAGAGAAAGAGAAGGAACTGGCATTATGGATAAGTGCAATGAGGCATTCGCAACTAGCTACAGTTGTGATTTATTTACAACTATGTACACACATACACATCAAAAATGCAAAAATGCAAGATTACAGAACCTGACTTTTAGTTACATAATCCTCTTTTATGTAGTTACATCACCACTTACTGAAATGTTGAGATTTCAGTAAGTGGAGATGTAACTACATATAAGAGAATTCTCGTTAGTAAACCAGCATTTCTCATTTCCTAAGCTCTGAGTAAGTACCTTTTCATTTGAAAAGTGAAGTAGAAAAATCCAACTCAAATACTTATTTCTCAGCTATATGAATAATTGAGCAAGTTTATAATAATCTCCTTATAACCCTTAGGCATGATTATAATGTAAAGAATTGAGATTTCCCCAAAATAATCAACATTAATAAATTAGTAAGATAGACGTTTGGTCAAAAGTTATCGAATTTTCAAAATCATTTGTTGCTATGTGTTTTTGGTAAACTTTAGAACAGTTTTTTAAAATAGATATTAAAATGTCTGAAATTGTATATGTGTGTTTATATACGTATGTGAGTATGAGTATGTGTATATTCAGTGTACAAGAATGTTAGTCCACTGGTCCACTATGATAAAACATATTCATGTCTTTATTCAATCATTCAGTCATTCAACAAATAGTGGCTACAGAGTCAAATGTACTATGCCATCTTGTAGTAATGAGTAATTTACATACCCTAATCTCAAGCAATTCATATCCTCAAGAGGATACAATACAAATAAAAAGGTAGCACAACATAATGAGGTAAATGTGATACAGGGTATTCATAGAATTGTTTCCACTTAAAGAACACATGCAATTGATGTTTCATATTAAGGGCCTTGTGAATATGGTGCTCTAGGCAAAGAGTATAAGTGACCATGGATTAACTTCTAAATGCACTGCAAGAAATTGGAACCAGGTGGAAAAAGGTGACACATTATGAGCAATGATGAACAAAGAATTGGCAAACAAATAGGCAAATATAAATAATAGATGATTCAGAAAATAAGTTTGAGGCAGCTACAGTGAAGACAAAAGTAAAATACAAAACAGGAATAACAGTATCATTAGAGGTAAGAGCTGTACAATCATGTGGTGGAGCAAGCTAACATAAAATTTTTCCTCCTGGAAACAAAAAATGATTAACTTTTGAA